>NC_000012.12:33497845-33650541 GCF_000001405.40 Homo sapiens
AAAGGATTCAATATTTAATAAATGGTGTTGGGAAAACTGGTTAGCCATATAGAGAAAACTGAAACTGGACCCCTTCCTTACACCTTATATAAAAAATTAACTCAAGATGGATTAAAGACTCAAATGTAAGACCTAAAACCATAAAAATCCTAGAAGAAAACCTAGGCAGTACCATTCAGGACACAGGCATGGGCAAAGACTTCATGACTAAAACACCGAAAACAATGGCAACAAAAGCCAAAATTGACAAATGGGATCAACTAAATTAAAGAGCTTCTGCACAGCAAAAGAAACTATCATCAGAGTGAACAGGCAACCTAAAGAATGGAAGAAAATTTTTGCAATCTACCCATCTGACAAAGGACTAATATCCAGAATCTACAAGAAACTTAAACAAATTTACAAGAAAAAACAACCCTATCAAAAAGTGGGCAAAGGATATGAACAGACACTTCTCAAAAGAAGACATTTATGCGTCCAACCAACATACGAAAAAAACCTCATCATCACTGGTCATTAGAGAAATGCAAATCAAACCACAATGTGATACCATCTCATGCCAGTTAGAATGGTGATCATTAAAAAGTCAGGAAACCACAGATGCTGGAAAGGATGTGGAGAAATAGGAATGCTTTTACACTGTTGGGAGTGTAAATTAGTTCAACCATTGTGGAAGACAGTGTGGCAATTCCTCTAGGATCTAGAACTAGAAATAGCATCTGATCCAGCAATCCCATTACTGGGTATATACCCAAAAGATTATAAATCATTCTGCTATGAAGACACATGCACACTTATGTTTATTGCAGCACTATTCACAATAGCAAAGACTTGGAACCAACCCAAATGTCCATCAGTGTTAGAGTGGATAAAGAAAATGTGGCACATATACACCATGCAATACTATGCAGCCATAAAAAAGGATGAGTTCGTGTCCTTTGCAGGGACATGGATGAAGCTGGAAACCATCATTTTCAGCAAACTAACACAGGAACAGAAAACCAAACACTGCATGTTCTCACTCATAAGTGTGAGTTGAACAATGAGAATACATGGACACAGGGCAGGGAACATCACACATAGGGGCCTCCCATAGGGTGGGGGAATAGGTCAGGGAGAAATACCTAACGTAGATGACGGGTTGATGGGTGCAGCAAACCACCATGGCACGTGTATACCTATGTAACAAACCTGCACATTCTGCACATGTATCCCAGAACTTAAAGTATAATAAAAAAAAATAGATTTCAAGACATAAGTACAAAAAAGACAAAGATTTTTATATAATAATAAATGGATCAGTTCAGCAAGAGGATATAAAAATTATAGGTATATATGCACCCAAACCTGAAGCATGCAGATATATTAAATAACTATTAGAGCTAAAGAGAGAGCTAGGCCTCAATGTAATGATATCCACAGACTGCACCACCCCACTTTCACCATTAGAAGGATTATTCAAACAGAAAATCAATAAACAAACAAACACCAGATGTAACCTGCACTACAGACCAAATAGACCTAATAGACATTTGTAGAACATTTTATCTGATGCCTACAGAATACACATTCTTCTCCTATCCCATATGGATATTTCTCAGGGATAGACTAAATGTGAGGTCACAAAACAATTCTTTAAAAATTCAAAATAATGGAAATTTATCAAATATCTTTTCTGACCACAATGGAATAAAACTATAGATGAATAGTTTTATTCTTTTTCATATGGATATCTCATTTTCCCAGCACCCTTTATTGAAGAGACTCTCCTCTTTTCAACATATGTTCTTGGGATGTTTGTCAGAAATGAGTTCACTGTAGTTGTGTGGATTTGTTTCTGAGCTCTCTATTCTGTTCCACTGGTCTTTGTGTCTGATTTTATGCCAGTACCATCCTGTTTTGGTTGCTATAGCTCTGTAGTATAACTTGAAGTCAGGTAATGTCATTCCTTCAGTTTTGTTCTTTTTGCTCAGGATGGGTTGGCTACTCTGTGACTTTTGTAGTTTCATATGAATTTTAAGATTTATTTTTATTTCTGTGAAGAATGTCACTGGTATTTTGATAGGGATTGCATTAAATCTGTAGATTGCTTTGTGTAGTCTGGACATTTAACAATATTAATTCTTCCAATCCATGAGCCTGGAATATCTTTTTATTTTTATTTTTTGAGATGGAGTCTCACTCTGTCACCCAGGCTGGAGTGAAGTGGCACAGTCTTGGCTCACTGCAACCTCTGCCTCCCGGGCTCAAATGATTCTCCTGTCTCAGCCTCCTGAGTAGCTGGGATTACAGGCAGATGCTGCCAGGCCCGGCTAATTTTTTGTATTTTTAGTAGAGACTGGGTTTCACCGTGTTCCCCAGGCTGGTCTCGAAATCTGAGCTCAGGAAATCCAGCCTCTTCGGCCTCCCAAAGTGCTAGGACTACAGGAGTGAGTCACCGCCCCAACCCTTCAGTTATCTTTCAAAAGCTTTATTAATTATTAATTTTGTTTTATTGTGGCAAGAACTTTAACGTGAGATCTGTGATCTTAAACTTTTAAGTGTACTATACAGTATTGTTGACTACAGGACTGATGTTATGTCGCAGCTCTCTAGAACTTATTCATTTTCTTTAAGTGAAAGTTTATGCCTGTTAAATAATAACTCCCAGTTTGCCCCATCCCCTGCTCCTGGCACCCACTATCCACTCTCAGATTTTATTAGACTATTTTAGATATCACATATAAGTGGAATCATGCAGTACTTGTTTTTCTGTGACTGGCTTATTCCACTTAGCATAAAGTCCTCAAGGATCATCCGTGTTGTCACATATGCTTTTTTAAAGAGTGAATAATATTTCAATATATGTATATATATATGTATATACCACTTTCCTTTTATCTATCACTCCTTTTATCTATCATTCCTTTTATCTATCAGTATTATCATTGTATTCCTTTTATCTATCATATTAGAGTCCTAATATGTCTTCAAAATACTGACTTCACTTCTTCTGGATAAATTCCCAGAAGGGGCACTGTTAGTCATTTGGTAGTTATATTAATAATTTTAATTTCTTGAGGAACTTCCACTGTTTTTATAGTAGCAGAACATTTTTACATTTCCACCAACGACGTACAAGGTTTCCAATTTCTCTACATTCTTGTCAACACTTATTATTTTCTTTTTTTTTAAATTTAGACATACACTGGCTATCCTAATGTTGGTAATGTAATATCTCATTGTGGTTTTGATTTGTTTTCCCCCGATGATTAATGGTATTAAACAAGCATCTTTTCATGTGCTTGTTGACCATTTGTACACCTTTTTTGGAGAAATGTCTACTTAAGTAATTTGCCCATTTTTTGGGGTCAAGTTACTCTTATTATTCTTGAGTTGTAGGAGCTCTTTACGTATTCTGAATATTGACTTCTTATCAGATATATAGTTTGAAATTATTTTTTGCCATTCTGTCTGTTGCCTTTTCACTCTGTTAATTACTTCCTTTGTTTCACAGTATTTTCTAAAGTTAGATATACTCCCATTTATATAAATTTTGCTTCTGTTGCTAGTGCTTTTGATGTCGTATTCAAGAAATCACTGCCAAATATAATGTCATGAAGGTTTTCCTCTGTTTTTTCCTAAGAGTTTTATAGTTTCAGGTCTTACATTTAGGTCTTTAATCCATGTTGAATTAATGTCTGTATGTGGTGTAAGTTAAGGGTCCAACTTAGTTTTCCTATGTGTAGATATCCAGTTTTCCCAGGACCATTTTTTTAAGAAACTAGTCTTTTCCCATTTTGTAACCTTGTCAAAGATAATTTGGCTATATGCATGAGAATTTATTTTGGGACCCTCAATTCTGTTCTATAGATGTATATGTGTGTCCTTATGTCAGGACCATAGTATGTTTTTCAATTACTGTAGCTTTGTTATGTTTTGAAATCAGGGAGTGTAAGGCCTCCAGATTTGTTTTTCTTTCTCAAGATTATTTTGACTCTTCAGGGTTCTTTGAGATTCCACATAAATTTTGGGTTGGCTCCTTTTTAGTCCTGCAAAAAAAAAAATGCCATTGAGATTTTGATAAGGACAGCACTGAATCTATAGATCACTTTGGGTGGTATGACCTTTTTTTTTTTTTTGAGATGTAGTCTCACTCTATCACACAGGCTGGAGTACAGTGGTGGGATCTCGGCTCACTGCAACCTCTGCCACCCAGGTTCAAATGATTCTCCTGCCTCAGCCTCACGAGTCTGGGATTACAGGTGCCTCCCACCATGCCCAGCTAATTTTTGTATTTTTAGTAGAGATGGGGTTTCACCATCTAGGCCAGGCTGGTCTTGAACTCCTGACCTCGTGATCCACCTGCCTTGGCCTCTCGAAGTGCTGGGATTACAGTGTGAGCCACCTCGCCCAGCTGGTATAAACATTTTAAGACATTAATTCTTCCAATCTATGAACATATGAAGCTTTTCCACTTATTTGTGTTCTTATTAATTTCTCTCATTAGATTGTATAGTTTTCTATGTATTGGTTTTTGCCTTCTTAGATAAGTTTATTCCTAAGTGTTTTATTCTTTTTGGTGTTATTGTAAATGGGATTGATTTCCTAATTCTTTTCAGAAAGAACATTGTTAGTGTATATTAACACATGACTTTTCGCATGTTGATTTGTATCTTGTAATTTTATTGAAAATTTTCACTAATTCTAATAGTTGTTTGGTGAAATCTTTAGGATTTTCTATATATAAGATCATGTCATCAGCACACAGGGATAATATCATTTCTTCCTTTCCTACTTGAATGCCTTTTATTTCTTTTTCTTGTCTACCTTCTTTGGCTGGGACTTGCCAATACTGTGTTTAATAGAAGTGATAAAAATGAGAATCCTTGCTTTGTTCCTGATCTTAGAGGAAAAATTTTAATTTTTCACCATTGAGTAAGCCCATGGAAAAGCTTACAGCTTTTCATATATGGTCTTTGTTATCTTGAAATTTTTTCCTTCTAATTTTTGTTTGTTGACAGTTTTTCTCATGAAAGAATGTTGAATTTTATCCAATACTTTCCCAGCATCTATTGCAATCATGTGATTTTATTCTCTATTCCGTAAATGTGGCATACCAATTTGATTGATTTTCACATGCTGAACCATATCAGCATTCCAGGGCTATATCCTACTTGGTCATGGTGTGTGATTCTTTTACTGTGCTGTTGGATTTGGTTTGCTAGTATTTTGTAGAGGATTTCTGCATCTAAATTTATCGGGGATACTGACTCTTAGTTTACTTCTCTTGTAGTCTTTTTGTTGCTTTGGTATCACGGTAATTCTGGCATCATAAAATAAGTTGGGAAGTGTTCCCTCATCTTCAATTTTTTGGAAGATTTGAGAATTGCTGTTAATTCCTTAAATGTTTGGTAGAATTCATGAGTGAAGCTATCTAGTCCCGGACTTTTCTTTGTTGTTGTTGTCGTTTTTTCAACTGATTAAATCTCCTTGTTGTTATAGGTTAGTTCTGACTTTCTAGTCCTTCATGATTTGGTCTCAGGAGATTATATCATTATAAGAATTTTGTTTCATGTTTAAGAAAAGTTATTTAGTTGTGGGAATATAATTGTTTACAGTAGTCATTAATAATTATTTTATTTCTGTGGCATCAGTTGCAATATTTCCTCTTTTTTGATTTTATTTATTTGAGTTTTATTCGTTATTTTTTAGGTAGTCTAAGGGTTTGTCAATTTTATTATTATTTTTAAACTTAGTTTTGTTCATTTTTTAAAATTTTATTTATTTATTTATTTTTGACACAGAGTCCTGCTCTGTCACCCAGGCTGGAGTGCAGTGGTGCGATCTCAGCTCACTGCAACCTCCACCTCCCGGGTTCACGTCATTCTCCTGCCTCAGCCTCCCAAGTAGCTGGGACCACAGGCACCCGCCACCACACCTGGCTAATTTTTTGTATTTTTAGTAGAGACAGGGTTTCACCTTGTCAGCCTGGATGGTCTGGATCTCCTGACCTCGTGATCCACCTGCCTCGGCCTCCCAAAGTGCTGGGATTACAGGCATGAGCCACCGCACCCAGCCTGGTTTTTTATTTTATCTATTCTCTCTTTTCCATTTATTTATGCTCCAGTCTTTGTTATTTCTGCTAATTTTGTGCTTGAGTTTTTTTTTCTAGTTCCTAGGGGTGTAAAGTTAGGTTATTTGAAAGCCTTATTTCTTTTCATATAGGTTTTATTGCAATAAAACTTTTAGAACTTCTTCTGCATTCCCTAAGGTCTGGTATGTTTTGTTTTACAGTTATTTGTCTTAAGGTATTTTCTTATCTCCTTTTTTATTTCTATGACCCAAGGGTTGTTCAAGAATATGCTATTTAATTTTCATTTATTTGTGAATTTTTCAGTTTTCCTTTGGATGTTGATTTCTTGTTTCAGTCCACTGTAGTCAGAAAAGATGCTTTGTATGATTTCCAACTTCTTAAATTTGTTAAGGTTTGTTTTGTAAACTAACATGCTATATCTTAAAGAAAGCTCTATGTGTATTTGAGGAAAATGTATATTCTACTGCTGGTAGGTTGATTTTTATGTACTTGCCTGTTAGTCCGTTTGGTCTATAATGTTCAGAATTTTCTTTCTATTTTCTTGATGATCATCTGTCTAGGCAGTATGTTCATTCTTGAAGGTTCCTGCAATCATTGCATTGCTGTCTATTTCTCCCTAAAGTTCTGTCAATGTTTTAATCATATATTAGGTGCTCTGATGTGTGCATGTATTTATGATTGTTATATTTTCCTTGTGGTTTGACCCTTAATCATAAAATGCCTTGCTTTGTCTTTTGTGACAGTTATTGACTTATTGTGTATTCTGCCTGCCATAAATATAGCTACTCTTGCTCGCTTTTGGTTACCATTTGCCTAGAATATCTTTTTCCATCCTTTTGCTTTCAGCCAATGTGTATTCTTAAATCTAACATGAGTTTCTGTGCAAAGCATGTATTTGGGTCTTTTTTTTTAATCCATTAATTCACTTTATGCTCTTTGATCACAGAGTTAAATCTGTTTACATTTAAAGTAATTATTGATAGGGAAGGGTTTAGTATTACCATTTTGTTAATTGTTTTATCTTAGTCTTGCAGTTCTTTGTTCCACTGTTTCTCTTGCTGTTTTCCTTTGTATTTTATTATTTTTTGTATCTCCCTTTTTCTTTTGTGTAAATTTATAGTTTTTTGTATATTTACCTCTTGGCTTACATAAAATATTTTATAGTTATAGCCATATATTTTAAGCGTGTAACAACTTAATTTCATTAACAATAACTCTGCACTTTGTTTCCTGCCACACACTTTATGTTATTGTTGTCACAATTTGCACCTATTCATATTGTGGATTTCTAAACATAATTTTGATTTATAGACCTTTGTAATCATTTTGTCTTTTAACTTTTTTACTAGAAGTAAAATTGATTTACCTACCACCATTACTGTAATACAATATTCTGTATTTCTTAATAATATATACGTATGTTTACTGTTAACAGTGAGTTTCATGCTTCTTTATGCTGTTGTGTTGCTGTTTAGTATATATTTGTTCAACTAAAAGTAACCCCTTTAGCATTTATTGTAAAGCAGTTCCCATAGTGATAAATTCCTTCAGCTTTTGTTTGTTGTACATAGCTTTTCTCTCTTTTGTTTATGGAGGACAATTTTGCAAGGCATAATACTCTTGGTTAGAAGAATTTTTCTGTTAGTACTTCGAATATACCATTCAATTCTCTCCTGGCTTACAAGGTTTCTACTGAAAAATCTGACAGACTTGTGGAGGTTCCCCTTATTATGACAAGTTGGTTTTTCTTGCTGCTTTCAAAGTTTTCTCTTTGTTTTTGATTTTAATAATTTGATTATAATGTTTCTAGGTGTGAATTTCTGTGGGTTAATTATTTTGTTATCCTTTGGGCTTCTTGGATCTTGATGTTTATTTCCTTCCCCTAATTTGGGAAGTAGTCAGTCATTATTTCTTTAAATAATCTTTCTGTTTTTTCTCACTCTCTTCTGTCTCTGTCAGCTAAGAATATTATACTTGGTAAAACTATCTTCTGAAAATGAAGAAGAGATAAAGACTTTCCCAGACAATCAAAAGCTGAGAGAGTTGATTATCATCAGACTGTTTTACAAGAAATGATAAAGGGAATTCATCCAGCTGAAACAAAAAGATGCTAATCAGCAGCATGAAAACATATGAACATATAAAACTCATTGGTAAAGATAAATATGTAACAAATATAGGATAACCTAATATTGTAAATATGCTGCATATATTACTTTTATTTCTAGTACGAAAGTTATAAAACAAAAATATTAAAAATAACTGTGGACACAATAATAATGGATAATGGATATACAATATAAAAGACACACATTGAACATCAATAGCATTAAAAGATGGGAGAGAACTAAAGGTGTAAAGGTTTTGTATATAATAAAATTATAGGCTTAAAATAGACTGTTATAGGATTTGTAATGTAAGTCTCATGGTAATAAGATAGAAAAAGCCTGTAGTAGATGCATAAAAGATAAATAGAAGGGAATCAGAGCATAATATCAGTTCAGCATACCAAATAAAAAAATTCCAAATCTGAAATGCTCAAAAATTTAAAATTCTGTGAGCACTGACATGATACACAAAGAAAATGCTTGTTGGAGAATTTCAGATTTCAGATTTTCAGATTTGAGATCCTCAACTGGTAAACATAATGCAAATATTCCACAACTCAAAAAAATCTGAAATCCAAAACGCTTCTGTCAGAAGCATTTTGGAAAAGACATACTCAACGTGTATCATAAGAAATGTTCAAAACACAAGTTAAGACAGCAGCAGATGAAGGAACAAAGGAATTATAAAACAGTTAAAAAACAATGAGCATGATGGCAATGGTAAATCCTTGCCTATTGGTAATTATTGTAAATGTAAATGAGTTAAATTCTCCAGTGAAAAGACAGAGTGGCTGAATAAATTATGAAAAACTAACATATAATTATATACTGTCTATAAGAAACTCACTTTAGTTTTAAGGGCAAACATGTGACACCAAAGAGATGGAAAAATATTTTCCATGCAAATGGAAAGAGAGTGGCGGGTGGCTATACTTATATCAGACAAAACAGATTTTAAGTCAAAAATTGTTACAAGAGACAATGAGGGTCATAATATAATAATAAGGAGGTCAATTCATCAAAAGGATATAGCAATTGTTAATATACATCTACCCAACATCAGAGCTCATAGATATATAAAGCAAATATTAACAAACCTGAAGGAAGAAATAGATAGCAATAAAATAATAGTTTGGGACTTCACTACCCCAGTTCCAACAGTAGGTAGGTTATCCAGACACAAAATCAATAAGGAAAGAGTGGATTTGAACAACAGTGTAGACCAAACTAACCTAACACACATATACAGATCATTTCTTTCCAACAGCAACAGAATATACATTCTTCTCAAGTGCACATGTGTTATTTTCCAAAATTGATATTATATGTTAGGCACAAAATAACTCTTAACAAATTTAAGAAGACTGAAATGATATGAAGTTTCTTTTCTGACCACAAAGGTCTGAAACTAGAAATTGGCAACAGGAGGAAAAAAAACCTCACAAATACATTAAAATTAGACAACATATACTGGAACAACAAATGGGACAAAGAAGAAACCAAAAAAGACATTAAAAAAAATCTTGAGGCATATAAAAATTACAAAAATACCAAAGCTAACAGGATGCAACAAAAACAGTTCTAAGAGAAAAGTTTGTAGTGATAAATGCTTACACTAAAATCTCAAATAAGCAACCTAAATTTATACCTGAGGGACCTAGAAAATGAAAAAGAAACAAATCCCAAAGTTTTCAGAAGGAAGAAAATAATAAAACTTAGAGCAGAAATAAATGAAATAGGGACTAGGAAAACAATAGAAAAGATTAGTGAAATAAAGAATGAGTTTTTTGAAAAGATAACAAAATTAGCAAACTGTTATTTTATCTAGGGTATCTAAGAAAAAAACAGAGAAGGCTCACATAAAATCATAAATGAAAAAGGAGATGATACAACTAATACCACAGAAATGCAAAGAATTGTAAGAGAATACTATGAACAATTATGTGCCAACAAATTGAATAACCTAAAAGAAATGGATAAATTTTCAGGAACATACAATCTACTGATACTGAATCTTATAGAAACAGAAAATATGAACAGACCAGACCAACAATGAGGAAAGAGATTTAATCTGTAATCAAAAGTCTCTCACCCAAATAAAAGCCCAGGACCACATGGCTTCACTGAAGAATTTTACAAACATTTAAATAGGAATTAACACCAATTGTTTTCAAATTCTTTGAAAAAATATGAGGAAGAGGCAACAGTTTCAAATCCATTCTAGGAGGGAAGCATTACCCTGATAAAAAGCCAGACAGGGACACTACTATAAAAGAAAATTATAAGCCAATATCTTTTAGAAACACAGATGCAAAAATCTTCAAAAAAATATGCTAGCAAAGCAAATCAAGAGGACATTAAAAGAATAATACTCCGTGATCAAGTGGGATTTATCCTGGAGATGCAAGGATGCTTCAACATACATAAATCAATAAATGTGATTCACCACATTAAAAGAATACAGGATAAAATTATGTGACCATCTCAATAGATGAAGAAAAAGAAGGTAAAAAAATTTAACATCGTCTCATGGTAAAAACTTTCAGGAAATTAGGTATAGAGGGGAGGCACTTCAACATCATAATAAAGGCTATATATGATGAACCCACAGCTAACATCATACTCAATGATGAAAAGCTGAAAGCCTTTCTCTAAGATAAAAAACAAGACAAGTATGTCCGTGTTCACCACTTGTAGTTAACGTAGTACTAGAAGTCTTAGCTGGAGCATTTAGCCAAAAAAAGAAAAAGGTAAGATTATCTGTTTGATGATAACATGATATTATATATAGAAAACCCTCAAGACTCCATCAAAAACTGTTAGAACTAATAAACTTACTAAAATTGCAGGATACAAAATCAACCTAAAAAAATCAGTTGTGTTTCTACACCCTATAACAGACTATCTGAAAAAGAAATTAAGAAAACAGTCCCATTTCAAATAGCATAAAAAAAGAATAAAATAGGTGTAAATTTAACCAAAAAGACAAAGTATCTATACACTGAAAACTATAAAACACTGACGAAAGAAATTAATGAAGACACAAATAAATGACATGATATCTTGTGTTCATGGTTTGGAAGAATTAATGTTGTTAAATGTTCATACTACCCAGTGTATCTACAAATTCATTGTAGATCTGTTGAAATTCCAATGGCATTTTTCAAGAATTAAAAAAAAAATTCTAAAATTTATATGAAATCAATACAGATTATCAATAGCCAAAGCAATTAGCTTCAGAAAGAGCAAAGCTGGAGGCATTTATACTTCTTAATTTCAAATTATATTACAAACTGATAGTAATTAAAATAGTATGGTACTTACATAAAAACAGGCATGTACACCAAGAGAGAATAATAGAAAGCATGTAAATAAACCTACTCATATATAGTCAACTAATTTTGATAAGGGCTCCAAGAATATACAATGGAGAAAGGATAGTTTCTTCAATAAATGGTGTTAGGAAAGCTGGATATCCACATGCAAAATAATAAAATTAGACAATTATAACAAATACAAATATCAACTCAAAGTGTATTAAAGACTTAAACATAAGACCTGAAACCATAAAATCCCTAGAAGAAAACTTAAGGAAAATCTCCTTGACAATGGTTTTGGCAATGATTCCTGGCTATAAGAGCAAAGGTATGGGCAACAAAAGCAAAAATAAACATGTGGGATTATATCAACCTGAAAAGTTCTGCACGGCAATGATAACAATCAACAAAATGAAAGGCAACCTATGGAATGGGAGAAAATAGTTTCCAAGCATATATATAATAAGGGTTTAAAATCCAAAATATAGAAGGAACACGTATGACTGAATAGCAAAAAACAAAACAAAACAAAACAAAAAACCCACCACCAGAACAAAAATCATGTAAACAGACTAAAAAATGGGCAAAGAATTTGAATAGGCATTTATTCAAGGAAAATATACAAATACCTACAGGTATATGAAAAGGTGCTCAATATAATTAATCATCAGGGAAATGCAAATTAAATTCACAATGAGATATCACCTTACAGTTGTTAGAATAGGTACTACTTTAAAAAAGATAAGTTTTGGCAAGGATTTGGAGAAACCGTATGGAGTTTCCTCAAGAAGTTAAAAATAGAACTACCATATGATCCAGCAATCCCAATTCTGGGTACATAGTCAAAGAAAATAAAATCACTTTCTCGAAGAGACATCTGCACTCCTATGTCCATTGCAGCATCATTCACAATAGCCAAGATATAGTATCAACCTAAGTGTCTATCAAAGGATGAATGTATAAAGTATGGTATGTACATATAATGCAATATTTTTCAGCCTTAGAAAAGAAAAAAATTCCTGCTATTTTCCATAACATGGATGAACCTAGAAGACATTATGCTAAGTGAAATAAGCCAGTGATAGAAAGACAAATATTGTGCGATCTCATATGTGGAATCTAAAATAGTCAAACTCATAGAAGCAGAAACAGATAATAATATGGTGGTTGCCAGTGGCTTGGGGGAGTAGGAAAGAGGGAGGTAATGTTTAATAGATACCAAGTTTCAGTTATACAAGTACGTTCTGGAGATCTGCCATACAGCATAGTACTTATAGCTAACAATACCGAATGTTATACTTAAAATCTCTAAGAGGGTAGATCTTAACGTTAAACGCTCTAACCAAAACAAAACAACAACAATAACAATAACAAAGGGCATAGTGGAAACTTTGGGAGGTGATGGATATGTTTATGGCCTTGATGGAGGTGATGGTTTCATGGGGTATACTTTTTCTCAAATTCATCAAGATGTATATGTTAAAAACATACAGCTTTTATATGTCAATGATTTCTCAATTAGGTGGTTTTTAACAAACACCCTTCTGGAGTTTCAATAGCAGTTTTAAAATTTTAATGATGCATCAAACAAAGAATAAGTGTATAATATATTTTGAGCAGAAACAGCACAATTTCTTTTCTTCTTGGCATATACAGCAGACTTTCTAAGACTAACAAGGAGCAGACACACAGAAAGATCATAGAAGTATAAAGTATAATCTTCTACATCAACCTCAAGAAATACTGTTTCATCTAAAACTGGTAAGATCACCTTGATATTCAGCTTTAATAACCTGCACAATTCCTTTTAAAGCAAGTGGATATGTAATTAAGGTGGAATTGTTGAAGGGGTCACGAAAGACAACATTAAGGAGCTTGTTAAACAAATCTTGTCTCTATGAGAACTGAATTTCTATATTTGTGTGAATTTAGGATGTTATATCTTATTCATCATTGTTTCATTAATAACTTTATTTATGTGTTCACTTATTTCCTCAATAAGAGTTTATTGATCACCTAACAAGTGGTATATTCAGTTTGGTAAATGATAACTAGAATTGGTGATCCACATTTAGGTCTACCACAACACGTGACATCTGAGAAATTACCATTTCATCCATAAAATAGGGATGTGGATAAAGGAGGTTTGAACTTTGGTGATCTATGAAGCCTCTTCTGATTCTGTAAATCCATCTTTGTTACATATTTGTACAAGATAATCTGACCTCCTGTTATTTACAGCTTAATAAAAAGATTAAAAAAGGACATATTATGTTAAAAAGACAAGACAAATAATTTTTAAAAATATTAATCAAAGGTTAAAACAATTCATTTCATAAGCAAAGGTGTTTGAATGCAGAGTCAGGCAGTACATTCAGGGATCTTTGGGGACAACGTAATAGATTTTCAAGTCTGGAATCTTGATCATGAGTGTCCCCGTGACCCACCCTAACCAAAATCAAGAGTAGCTACAAATGAGATTTTATGTTTACTAACATCTGGTTTCATGGCCTAATGCATCCAAGTCAATGAAATCAAATAGCCTGAAAGTAAGTCAAAATTCTGTAAATCACCTTACTCATTTTGGCCATCTAGATTTCTGGCTGACCAATCTCACAGATATATCTCTTAAGATATATCAATAAATACTACTAAGGAACACTCATATCTTGTGGATGCATTTATATTTTTTCCCTATCTTTGCTCTATTCAGTAGTATAAAATTTAGAGTATGTGTCACTAAATACAATATTAGTCATTAGTCATGTATGTTCAATAACTTGTGCTGGAGAAGATGTGAAGTCTTTTTTTTCTTTTGAACTTTCATTTTAGGTTTGGGGGTACATGTGAAATTTTGTTACATAGGTAAATTAATGTCACAGGGTTTGTTGTACAGATTATTTCATCACCCAGGAATTAAGCCCATTACCCAACAAGTATCTTTTCTGTTCCTCTCCTCCTCTCCCTGATCCCACCCTCCACCCCCAAGTAGATCCCAGTGTCTGTTGTTTCCCTCTTTGTGTTCATAAGTTCTTACCATTTAGCTCCCACTTATAAGTGAGAACATGTGGTATTTGGTTTTCTGTTCCTGTATTAGTTTGCTGAGAATAATAACCTCCAGTTCCATCCATGTTTCTGCAAAAAAAAAAGTGATATCATTCTCTTTATGCCTGTATAGTATTCCATGGTTTATATGTAACACATTTTCTTTATCCAATCTGTCATTGATGGGCATTTAGGTTGATTCCACATCCTTGCTATTTTGAACTGTGCTGCAATGAACATTTGCATGCAAGTGTCTTTATGGTAGAATGATTTATATTCTATGTGTGTATATACCTCTGGGTATATACACAGTAATGGGATTGCTGGGTATATACCAACAATGGTAGTTGCTGCTTTTAGCTCTTTGAGAATCACATACTGCTTTCCATAATGTCTGAAATAATTTACACTCCCACCAACAGTGTAGAAGTGTTCCCTTTTCTCCACAACCTTACCAGAGTCTGTTATTTTTTGACTTTTTAATGATAGCCATTCTGACTGGTGTGAGATGGTTTCTCATTGTGGTTTTGATTTACATTTCTCTAATGATCAGTGATATTTAGCTTTTTCATATGCTTGTTGACAGCATGAATGTCTTCTTTTGAGAAGTGTCTGTTCATGTCCTTTACACACTATTTAATTGGATTGTTTGTTTTTCTCTTGTAAATTTGTTTAATTTCCTTATAGATGCTGCATATTAGGCCTTTGTCAGATGCAGAGTTTGCAAATATTTTCTCCCATTTGGTAGGTTGTCTGTCTACCCTATTGGTCATTTCTTTTGCTGTGCAGAATCTCTTAAGTTTAATTAGATCCCACATGTCAATTTTTGCTTTTGCTATGATTGCTTTTGGTGTATTTGTCATGAAATCTTTTCCTGTTCCTATGTTGATATGGTTTGGCTCTGTGTCTCCACCCATATTTCATCTTGTAGTTCCCATAATTCCCACGTGTTGTGGGAGGGACACGGTGGAAGATGTTTGGATCACGCGGGCGGGTCTTTCCTGTGCTGTTCTCCTGATAGTAAATGGGTCTCATGAGACATGATGGTTTTAAAAACAGGAGTTGCCCAGCACAAGCTCTCTTTTTTTGCCTACTGCCATCCATATAAGACATGACTTGCTCCTCCTTGCCTTGTGCCATGATTGTGAGGCTTCCTCAGCCACGTGGAGCTGTGAGTCCAATTGAAACTCTTTCTTTTGTAAATTGTCCAGTCTTGGGTATGTCTTTATCAGCAGCATGGAAACAGACTAATACATATGTCCACAATGGTATTGCCTAGTTTGTCTTCCAGGATTTTTGTAGTTTTGGGTTTTATGTTTAACTCTTTAATCCATCTTGAGTTGATTTTTGTATATGGTGTAGGGAAGGAGTCCAGCTTCGGTCTTCTGCATATGGCTGGCCAGTTATCCCCGCACCATTTATTGAATAGGAAGTCTTTTCCCCATTGCTTGTTTTTGTCAGCTTTGTCGAAGATTCAGTGTTTGTAGGTGTGCAGCCTTATTTCTGGCTTCTGTATTCTGTTCCCTTGGTCTATGCACCTGTTTTGTACCAGTACCATGGTGTTTTGGTTACTGTAGCCCTGGGGTATATTTTGAAGTTGGATAATGTCATGCATACAGCTTTGTTCTTTTTGCTGAGGATTGCCTTGGCTATTGGGCTCTTTTGTGGTTCTATATGAATTTTAAAATAGTTATTTTCTAGTTCTGTGAAGAATGTCATTCGTAGTTATATAGGAATAGCATTGAATTTGTAAATTGTTTTGGGTAATATGGCCATTCTAATAACATTGATTCTTCCTATCCATGAGCATGGAATGTTTTTCCATTTGTTTGTGTCATCTCTGAATTCTTTGAGCATTGTTTTGCAGTTCTCATTGTAGAGAACTTTCACCTTCCTGGGTAGCTGTATTCCTAGTTTTTTTTTTTCTTTTTGTAACAATTGTGAATGGTATTGCCTTTCTGATTTGGCCTTCGGCTTGGCTATTGTTGTTGTATAGGAATGCTAGTAATTTTTGCACATTGCTTATGTATTCTCAAACTTTGCTGAAGTTAACTTGTACAGTATACAAAACCTGTTTGCAAGTGATAATATTACTTGAAACTTTTACAAGTTTGACATTACTGTAATTGTTCTGGTTATTTTTGTACTGGTTTATTGCTTGGGACATTAAGATAAATGAACTATGTTCTTTTCTTAATTAAAATTGCCAAAATTTTAGACTTTAAAAGCTTTGTATCATAAATTATTCAGTTTTAGAAGTATATGATGGAAACTAATATAATCAGGATAACATAATCATATTTATTATACCTCGAAGACTTTCCCCTAGGTTTTTATGATGTTAAAACATTTATTGATTAAATTATAGAAAGTTGAGTTGTTATACAGTCAAATATATTTTCACATATATACCCTGGACTATATAAGCTTTTAATTGAATAATTTTGATAATATATACACAATATGTTAACCACATTGGTACACATCAGTATAGATGGTTAAAATTTTCCTTTATTACTATTTCCGCAAGTTCATTTGGCCTTTATAGCCAAGAAATGTTTGTCATATTTTTAGTGATTGGTTAAATATTATCTCTGTGCTCCAAATCCACCTTTTTATCTTCTCTCCTCTCCTTTGGAGCAGGAACTGCAAATCCTATTATTCAGATTCATTGACTAGAGGGCTTCTGCCAGTAGGAGGCACTAGGTTTGTGGGTCTTAACCTTGGCTGCATAGTGGAATCATTTGGAGCTTTTAAGACTATTATTGCTTAATTTTTATGTCCACAAATTCAGATTTCATTGTTTGCAAGTGTGGAGTGGGCATCAGGGTTTTAAATATTAAGTGATTCTAATGAGCAGCTAAATTAAGAATCGTTACACTACATATAGGGTCACAGTCAGGGAGAGAGTCTTCCCTCTTATTTTTGATCATCCTTTACCACACCTGAGCGGCAGCAATCACTGCAGGAGTGGCAGTTGGCTTCTGTTTTCAGCCATTTTATGTGCACTTCTAGAATCACTCTCATTCTGCCCCCTCAAAGGCACCAGTAAAAGCTGGATGGTGCTGCTAACCCTTCCTCAGAGGCCTGTGAACTCCCCTTCAAGCTCTTAAGGTACTAGTAGCAACCAAGATGCTTCTTTCCTTTGAAAACCTAAGCTCTTACTTTGCAGAGCCTCACTTCCGATCTCCTAATTTCTGAGAAACCAAATCTTTTATTTTTATTCCACCGACTTCGGGGTGGTAGCTGATACGTACAGTGAGCACCGCCTTTTCGTCTTATAACACTCCAAAACTTGTGTAATCTATTTTCTGTATCAAAATTTCTTTTGTGGAAATGTTGGATGTTGTCTGTTTTCCAGACTTGGCCCACCTGTAGCTGAACTACGCCAGTGCCATGGCTCTAATTGTTGTAGGTTAAATTGGAAACCGAAAGATATTAACATGTGTCCTTGGATTACTCAATTAAAATCATGGGGAAATTTTCTCCAGCTTTTGAATGAGGACCTATGAAAGGAGAGCTGAAGAAAACAGAGAGGCAAGATTTGTATAAACCCTAGGGGACATGGGTGAGGTGGCAGTGAGATGTGCATAGATGCAACCCTATCTCAGAATATAACTATGATGATATTTATGTATGGTGGGTATATATCAAGAGGCTCTGCCCAGAGATGAAAATTTCCACTGACTAAAAAGAGCCTCAAATTACTTCAAAATGGATCATTTAAATAAATCACATTGCTACCATGGTCAGAAATTCAATATAAACAATGGAAATATAAGCTATTGGTATAAATCTGCCTTTTATAAAAAGTAAGCACATTTTTGAAAGTTAAACTTAAAAAAATACTTACTTAAATATCCCACTTTCTGATTGTTTGTAATATTCTGTTTAAGATGTAATAAAGTCAATAAAATTTAAAACAGGAAAAACATCATGTCTGTTCCAGAACCACATGTCCTAGGGAGCACAATCACTCTTGCCTTTCCGTTTTTAAACCATGTTCTCAGAGTGAAGAACAGAAACCTATGTTACGTGAATGTGAAGACAAATGAGACTCTGAACTTGCCTATATTTCTTCAAGTTACACACAACAAGGCCTTCTATTGCCATTTCATCCTTAAGAAGCAGCTCATTTGTTGTCACTGGCTAATTAGTGTAACCATTTAAGAATTATTTCATTTCTTGCAGAATTGGAGCCAGTGGAAGTTAAGAAGATTGGGAGAGGGAGAATAGGGATTGGATGTTAGCTGGAATATAGCTCATAGGTCATATAAATCAGGGAAGAATAGGGAAAATGGGAAGCGTGGCCCCAGGAAAGTATCGGGACCTTCCAAATATACTTTGACCTAATTTAACTTTGGCCTAAGGTACATTGAATCTACTTCAAATTGTAGGCTTTTGGGAAACTTAGATACTAGGCAGTTGTATAAGAAGGAGACTATCTGGGCTTAGTAGAAGAAATGGGGGTTGTAATAAATTATTTGAGTAGTTCACCTCTAAAAATTAGAATAAATGCATCATCTTTGTTACTAATCTTTAAAGTTAGATTTTGGCTGTGGTGACTAAATCATGTCTAAATTTTCGGGGAAGATGTACATTCTCAGAAAGATTACCTGGCTGTCACTTAACGTTAGCTATCCTTATATGTATATTCTTATATATGTATATATGTATTCTTATACACATATGTAAGAATATTTATATAACATTAAAAGTATTTATATAACATTAGCAATATTAGAATCTCTCTAGAGAGAGAGAGAGATTTCCATCTCTATCATTATCTATCTATCTACCTGTCATCTGCGGATATAACTGAAATTCAAAATGAGAAACTTCATCTTAGAACTTGATTTTAATTTAAAGCACCTAGTATTGCTTAGTATGGTATGTGACTGATTAACAAAAATGATAATGTATTATCATTTACAATTTTGCTTTTAAAAGAACAATGAGGTTGTTTAAGAAAGGGATTGCAATTAAGAATACTATATTAAGACTTGCCTTTAGGGAAATAATTTGACAATATTTAAAATATTCTAATTTAGACATCATATATATGTTATGTATTAAATAAATCAAAACAAGGTTACATATATTTTCCATATGGGAAATTTCAATGCAATTATTTTACTATTTCTTTTCTATGCATGAATATTTAGAATTCATACAGAGACTCACTGGAGCATTCAAATGTGATGAGAACATTTTCTGGTTTTTTTCCCCCCTTTTTGTTCATTAAAACCTTAATATGGCTGTAAGACAAGGATTGGTATCCTTGATTGCTAAATCAACATAAAATTACCTCTTTCAAGAGAATGGGTAATAGTATCCATTATATGATAGTATTGTGGTTGGGAAATTAATGAGAGGTGTTTAACTTTTTAAAACAGTTACAGTTATATTGTTGCCCAAGAGCCCTCTGAGGTGGGTATGGCAGATATTAATGAAGTCCACCTTGCTTTATAGCATGAAATGCTGGAGACATTTTCCAGTTAGACGCAGAGCTAAATAAAGCACATACATGTGCCTATTTTCCACATGAAACATCAGAATTTACTTTTTTTTTACATAGCCACCAAAATAAAAATATGCAGTATAGAATAATTTGACAAAAACAATTCATTAAAATAAACATTAATACTAATGGATTGAAAGAACAGCCACTAAAACTATACAAGCTTAAAAGGGCAAATTTCTAAAAGGAAAATAATTTAAAAGTAATTTGTAGTTGTTTATTTTTTGAAAAATGTACATCACTGAAAATTTTATGCAAGTGAGTAACAATACATGAAGACATCAAATTCTTTTAGAGAAGAAGATAATACAATAAATAAGTAAAACCTATCTATTAGGTGGTGACAGTACTTCTTATAAGATAAATGCAACCTCCTTCCTAATAAAATTTTCTAAGGCACTAGCATTATTCTTGGGATTAATAATAAAACAAGACCTTAGTTTAAAGGTCATAATTGATTAAAGTTGTAATTGATTAAAAGTAATGGCAAAACCCGCCATTACTTTTGCACCAACCTAATATTTCAAATGCATTTTACCACTGTACATTTAGTAAAGAGGAACTTCATTTTAGTTCTGAGCAGAGAGCATTGGAATAGATTATGAAACAAAATAATTTAATGGAAAGAAGTAATCAACACATGGAAAAAGTTTATTTTAGAATGTCCTGCATTTTAAATAAGACAAATATAAATGGACAACTGGTAAACTTGTCAATAATTTTTGTTAGTATTTCGCACTATAATGACTTTGTGGAAATTTCTGTTTCTGTTGCAACCCTCAAGATATCTCTTTTATTCTTTCACAGCATGATAAAAAGAGCCTATTATAATTTGGTGACAAAGTCACTTATTTATATGGATTAGGAATCTAGATATAGTAACAAATTTAACACCTCTTTAATAAACTTAGTCTTTCTGTCTCTACACATAATAAATGGATTTTCCAGGACATGGAAACTGATTTTTTTTCCATACAAGATTATTAAAATACGTATGATATGGAAACATTCTATTGTTTTTGCCATAAGCTAAATGATAAAGATAAAACTCTGTGATATCATTACACTTAATAGAATTAGAATATTTCTAATATTTTTAATAACAAGTTTTAAGAGTATTCAATAAAGCAGTTAACTTTTTCTCTTTAGCAAGACACTTATAATAGTTACATAGTATAATTTTGAGATAAAATTTCTTTTAAAGACTTCAGTTTCAGATTAAGACAAAAGGCATGAGTGTCAGAAAGACAACCAAAACAAGAATACTAAGTAATTGTTGTGAATTTCTTACCTTTTAGTGAACATATTTTAAATGAATGCAAGCTGTATGAGGATTTTAATTATTTAATTTTTGTAGCAGTCTTCATCAAATATAAGAATTAGTAATCTTGGGAAGTAATAACTTACAGTAAACATTTTAGTATAGTTTCTTATCCATTCTTGGAATATCACTGATGAAATGATACCTGAATTCTAATTTTTACTTATGTTGTAACATCAGTGTATATTTCATAATTTATTGTCCTTCAGTGGGGAAAGAACAGTTTTGATGCTCTCAGTACTTGAAAAGGCGGTATTTATAAATGCAGAATGATGACTCATATAGTTAATTAAATCAAAGTTCTTTATACATTCGAAATTCAAGAAGACAAATTTCCCTGTTGAAGAAATGATCCAATTTATGCAAAATGTACAGCATGAAAAAGTATGCAGCAACAGGTTTTAAATGTTATTTTTGCTTTGTGTGATAGATGTACCATGATGAAAATAGAACAAAATATAATATTAAGCCAAGTTGCTCACATATTTCTTACTTTATCCCATGGGAACACATTGCTATCTGGGTAGCAAGTAGAAGAGTCAGAGCAGAAGAGACAAATTTTTTCAAAAGTTCCTGGTTCTAGGCCAACACCAACCCAAAATTAACCACAATTATAGAAGAAAAAACATTCATAATCATGATCTGCTAAGACTGAAAGGAGATGTTTCTGGCACTTTGAGATACTGTAGAAATAAAGGATCAGAGATGTCCTTGAAATTTACAATTGCATTGGAAATTATTGAGTCAGACAAGATGATATCCTGTCAATTTTAATGTTTCTAACATTGGCTAAGTCGAGTTACAATTATTCTCTCCTATACAAGTAATATTTCAAATCTCATTGGGTCTGAATAGTTGTTAGCAATATTGTTTATGTTCATTTCCCTATTTGTTCAGATATTTTATTTGGTGCAGGACATTTTAATGCCTTTACAATATTTTGTGCAAGAAAATAATGTTCACTTTTTCACTTTTATAATTGTGGAACTAAGGCACAGAAATCTTAAGTAATAGAACAAAAACCAGTGATAAATCAGTAACAGACTCGAACTAGTTAGCTCCTTTGTTTCCTAACTTTAGTGACAAAAAGAAAAAATTCTGTAGAAGCAATGGAGGTGCAATGATATTCAACACAGACCACTCTGTTGTTGCTTTAAAAATTTTAACTTTCCCTGTGATTGAGTTACATAAGAAATGACTCGGGGTTATTCATGTAGTAGGGCTACACCTCAGGCTTATAGAAATCTTTTTTCTTTTTATATCTCCTGCACAGATAACCATGTCAAAATCTTTAAAAGAATGTAGCAATGGCTGGAAAGAAGTTTTTACTTGTTCTCATTTCTAGCTTTGCTTTCTTCCTTCCCAGCTCAATACACAGAAAGAAAATGCTTGGCTAGGCCCATGAACTCTAAGTTGTCTTCAAAACATAGAGCAACACAGGAAAAAAAAAAGAAAAAAAAACCAAACCAAACCAAACCAAAACCAAAACCAAAACGAGTTGGAGAAGAGAGTAAGAAACATTAAAAAATTTTTCTGAGCTCCAGTCTGCAGCTCCCAGCATGATTGATGCAGAAGATGGGTGATTTCTGCATTTCCAACTGAGGTACCTGGTTCATCCCACTAGGACTGGTTGGACAGTGGATGCAGCCCACGGAGGGCGAGCTGAAGCAGGGCAGGGTGTCGCCTCACCTGGGAAGTGCAAGGGGTTGGGGGATTTCCCTTTCCTAGCCAAGGGAAGCCATGACAGACTACCTGGAAAAACGGGTCACTCCCGCCCAAATACTGTGCTTTGCCCAAAGTCTTAGCAACCGGCAGACAAGGTGATTCTCTCCCCTGCTTGGCTCAGCGGGTCCCACGCTGACAGAGCCTTGCTCACTGCTAGTGCAGCAGTCTGAAATCGATATGTGAGGCTGCAGCCTGGCTGGGGGAGGGGCGTCCACCATTGCTGAGGCTTGAGTAGGTAAACAAAGCAGCTGGGAAGCTCGAACTGGGTGGAGCCTACCACAGCTCAACAAGTCCTACTGCCTCTAGACTCCACCTCAGTGGGCAGGGCATAGCTGAACAAAAGGCAGCAGAAAACTTCTGCAGACTTAAACATCCCTGTCTGACAGCTCTGAAGAGAGCAGTGGTTCTCCCAGCACGGCGTTTGAGCTCTGAGAATAGACAGACTGCCTCCTCAAGTGGGTCCCTGACCCCTGTGTAGCCTAACTAGGAGACACTTCCCAGTAGGGGCCGACAGACACCTCATATAGGTGGCTGACCCTCTGGGATGAAGCTTCCAGAGGAAGGATCAGGTAGTAGTATTTGCTGTTCGGCAATATTTGCTGTTCTACAGCCTCTGCTGGTGATAACCAGGCAAACGGTCTGGAGTGGAACTTCAGCAAACTCCAACAGACCTGCAGCTGGGAGACCTGACTGTCAGAAGGAAAACTAACAAACAGAAAGGAATAGCATCAACATCAACAAAAAGGTCATCTACACCAAAACCCCATCTGTAGGTCACCAACATCAAAGACCAAAGGTAAATAAAACCACAAAGATGGGGAGAAACCAGAGCAGAAAAGCTGAAAGTTCTAAAAATCAGAGTGCCTCTTCTCCTCCGAAGGATTGCAGCTCCTTGCCAACAACGGAACAAAGCTGGACAGATAATGACTTTGATGAGTTGACAGAAGCAGGCTTCAGAAGGTTGGTAATAACAGACTTCTCCAAGCTAAAGGAGGATGTTCGAACCCATTGCAAGGAAGCTAAAAACCTTGAAAAAAGATTAGACGAATGGCTAACTAGAATAAACAGTGTAGAGAAGACCTTAAATGACCTAATGGAGCTGAAAACCATGGCATGAGAACTTCTTGACTTATGCACAAGCTTCAATAGCTGATTTGATCAAGTGGAAGAAAGGGTATCAGTGATTGAAGATCAAATTAATGAAATGAAGCGAGAAGTTTAGAGAAAAAAGAGTAAAAAGAAACGAACAAAGCCTCCAAGAAATATGGGACTATATGAAAAGACCAAATCTGCATTTGATTGGTGTACCTGAAAGTGATGGGGAGAATGGAACCAAGTTGGAAAACACTTCTCAGGATATTATCCAGGAGAACTTCCCCAACCTAGCAAGGCAGGCCAACATTCAAATTCAGGAAATACGGAGAACACCACAAAGATACTCCTTGAGAAAAGCAATCCCAAGACACATAATTGTCAGATTCAACAAGGTTGAAATGAAGGAAAAAGTGTTAAGGCAGCCAGAGAGAAAGGTCAAGTTACTAACAAAGGAAAGCCCATCAGACTAACAGCAGATCTCTTGGCAGAAACCCTACAAGCCAGAAGAAAGTGGGTCCCAATATTCAACATTCTTAAAAAAAAGAATTTTCAACCCAGAATTTCATATCCAGCCAAACTAAACTTCATAAGTGAAGGAGAAATAAAATCCTTTACAGACAAGCAAATGCTGAGAGATTTTGTCACCACCAGGCCTGCCTTACAAGAGCTCATGAAGGAAGCACTAAACATGGAAAGGAACAATTGGTACCAGCCACTGCAAAAACATGCCAAATTGTAAAGACCATTGATGCTATGAAGAAACTGCATCAATTAATGGGCAAAGTAACCAGCAAACATCATAATGACAGGATCAAATTAACACATAACAATATTAACCTTAAATGTAAACTGGCTAAATGCCCCAATTAAAAGAAACAGACTGGCAAATTGGATAGAGTCAAGACCCATCAGTGTGCTGTATTCAGGAGACCCATCTCATGTGCAAAGATGCACATAGGCTCAAAATAAAGGAATGGAGGAAGATCTACCAAGCAAATGGAAAGCAAAAAAGAGCAGGGGTTGCAATCCTAGTCTCTGATAAAACAGACTTTAAACTAACAAAGATCAAAACAAAGAAGGCCATTACATAATGGTAAAGGAATCAATTCAACAAGAAGAGCTAAATATCCTAAATATACATGCATCCAATACAGGAGCACCCAGATTCATAAAGCAAGTCCTTAGAGACGTACAAAGAGACTTAGACTCCCACACAATAATAATGGGAGACTTTAACACCCCACTGTCAATATTAGACAGATCGAGACAGAAAGTTAACAAGGATATCCAGGACCTGAACTCAGCTCTGCAACAAGCAGAACTAATAGACATCTACAGAACTCTCCACCCCAAATCAACAGAATATACATTCTTTTCAGCACCACATTGCACTTATTCTATAATTGACCACATAAGTGGAAGTAAAGCACTCCTCAGCAAATGTAAAATAACAGAAATCACAACAAACTGTCTCTCAGACCACATTGCAATCAAATTAGGATTAAGGAACTTACTCAAAACCTCACAACTACATGGAAACTGAACAACTTGTTCCTGAATGACTACTGGGTGCATAACAAAATGAAGGCAGAAATAAAGATGTTCTTTGAAACTAATGAGAGCAAAGACACAATGTACCAGAATCTCTGAGACACATTTAAAGCAGTGTGTAGAGGGAAATTTATAGCCCTAAATGCCCATAAGAGAAAGCAGGAAAGATCTAAAATTGGCACCCTAACATCACAATGAAAAGAACTAGAGAAGCAAGAGTAAACAAATTCAAAAGCTAGTAGAAGGCAAGAAATAACTAACATCAGAGCAGAACTGAAAGAGATAAAGACACAAAAAAACCCTTAAAAAAATCAATGAATCCAGGAGCTGGTTATTTGAAAAGATCAACAAAGTAGATAGACTGCTAGCAAGACTAATAAAGAAGAAAAGAGAAAAGAATCAAATAGATGCAATAAGAAATGATAAAGGGGATATCACCACTGATCCCACAGAAATACACACTACCATCAGAGAATACTATAAACACATCTATGCAAATAAGCTAGAAAATCTATAAGAAATGGATAAATTCGTGGACACGTACACCCTCCCAAGACTAAACCAGGAAGAAGTTGAATCTCTGAGTAGACCAATAACAGGCTCTGAAATTGAGGCAGTAATTAATAGCCTACCAACCCAAAAAAGTCCAGGACCAGACTGATTCACAGCCAAATTCTACCAGAGGTACAAAGAGGAGCTGGTACCATGCCTTCTGAAACTATTCCAATCAATAGAAAAAGATGGAATCCTCCCTAACTCATTTTATGAGGCCAACATCATCCTGATACCAAAGCCTGGCAGAGACACAATAAAAAAAGAGAAACTTAGACCAATATCCCTGATGAACATTGATGTGAAAATCCTCAATAAATTACTGGCAAACCAAATCCAGCAGCACATCAAAAAGCTTATCTACCACGATCAAGTTGGCTTCATCCCTGGGATGCAAGGCTGGTCCAACACATGCAAATCAATAAACGTAATCCATCACATAAACAGAACGAATGACAAAAACCACGTGATTATCTCAATAGATGCAGAAAAGGCCTTTGACAAAATTCAACAGCCCTTCATGCTAAAAACTCTCAATAAACTAGGTATTGATGGAATGTATCTCAAAATAATAAGAGCTATTTATGACAAACCCACAGCCAATACCATATTGAATGGGCAAAAGCTGGAAGCATTCCCTTTGAAAACTAGCACGAGACAGGGATGCCCTCGCTCACAACTCCTATTCAACATAGTGTTGGAAGTTCTGGCCAGGGCAATCAGGCAAGAGAAAGAAATAAAGGATATTCAATTAGGAAATGAGGAAGTCAAATTGTCCCTGTTTGCAGATGACATGATTGTATATTTAGAAAACCCCATCGTATCAGCCCCAAATCTCCTTAAGCTGATAAGCAACTTCAGCAAAGTCTCAGGATATAAAATCAATGTGCAAAAATCACAAGCATTCCTGTACACCATTAACAGACAAACAGAAAGCCAAATCCTGAGTGAACTCCCATTCACAATTGCTATAAAGAGAATAAAATACCTAGGAATCCAACTTACAAGGGATGTGAAGGAACTCTTCATGGAGAACAACAAACCACTGCTCAATGAAATAAAAGAGGACACAAATAAGAGGAAGACTATTCCATGCTCATGGATAGGAAGAATAAATATTGTGAAAATGGCCATACTGCCCAAAGTAATTTATAGATTCAATGCCATCCCCATCAAGCTACCAAGGAATTTCTTCACAGAATTGGAAAAAACTGCTTTAAAGTTTATATGAAACCAGAAAAGAACCTGCATTGCCATGACAATCCTAAGCAAAAATAACAAAGCTGGAGGCATCACACTACCTGACTTCAAACTATACTACAAGGCTACAGTAACCAAAACAGCATGGTACTGGTACTAAAACAGAGATGTAGACCCATGGAACAGAACAGAGCCCTCAGAAATAACACCACTCATCTACGACCATCTGCTCTTTGACAAACCTGACAAAAACAAGAAATGGGAAAAGGATTTCCTATTTAATAAATGGTGCTGTGAAAACTGGCTAGCTATATGTGGAAAGCTGAAACTGGATTCCTTCCTTACACCTGATACAGAAATTAATTCAAGATGGATTAAAGACTTAAATGTGAGACCTAAAACCGTAAAAACTCTAGAAGAAAACCTAGGCAATACCATTCAGGACATAGGCATGGGCAAGGACTTCATGACTAAAACAACGGCAACAAAAGCCAAAATTGACAAATGGGATCTAATTAAAGAGCCTCTGCATGGCAAAACAAACTACCATCAGAGTGAACAGGCAACCTATAGTATGGGAGAAAATATTTGCAATCTACCCATCTGACAAAGGGCTAATATCCCGAATCTACAAATAACTCAAACAAATTTACAAGAAAAAAACAAACAATCCCATCAAAAAGTGGGCAAAGGATATGAACAGACCCTTCTCAAAAGAAGACATCTATGCAGCCAACAGACACATGAACAAATGCTCATCATCACTGGTCATCAGAGAAACGCAAATCAAAACCACAATGAGATACCATCTCATGCCAGTTAGAATGGCAATCATTAAAAAGTCAGGAAACAACAGATGCTGGAGAGGATGTGGAGAAATAGGAATGCTTTTACACTGTTGGTGGGAGTGTAAATTAGTTCAACTACTGTGGAACACTGTGTGGCCATTCCTCAAGGATCTAGAACTAGAATTACCATTTGACCCGGCAATCCCATTACTGGGTATGTACCCAAGGATTATAGATCATGCTACTATAAAGACACATGCACATGTATGTTTATTGCAGCACTATTCACAATAGCAAAGACTTGGAACCAACCCAAATGTCCATCAATGATAGACTGGATTAAGAAAATGTGGCACATATACACCATGGAATACTATGCAGCCATAAAAAAGGATGAGTTTATGTCCTTTGCAGGGACATGAATGAAGCTGGAAACCATCATTTTCAGCAGACTATCGCAAGGACAGAAAACCAAACACCGCATGTTCTCACTTATAGGTGGGAATTGAACAATGAGATCACTTGGACACAGGGTGGGGAACATCACACACCAGGGCCTGTCTGGTGGTGGAGGGCTGGGAGAGGGATAGCATTAGGAGAAATATCTCATGTAAATGATGAGTTCATGGGTGTAGCAAACCAACATGGCACATGTATACCTATGTATCAAACCTGCACATTGTGCACATGTACCCTAGAACTTAAAGTATAATAAAAAAATTTTTCTGATCCTGCTGACTCATTCCCATTAAGATCGTCTTCTGATTCTTAATAAGTCAATTGTAGATTTTCTTTTAAGCTCTGCTGAAGTGGTCCCATACTTGTTTTCATAGTTAATGTGCAGTATTTCTTTACTAGAACTCTTAAATTAGGTTTTATGTTAGTGGTAACTTAACAAAATTTCAAGTATGGAGGAAAATGAAAAAGAGATCCAGAAATAAATGGCACTGACTGCGAGTTGTATTATTGGACATTCTATTATTAAAACTTAATTTTAATGGAATCAAGGAGTGGGCAACATCAAAAGAAGAATGTTATTAAATTTTAAGCTCCTTCAGCAGAGTGATTTAATACACTTATTTCACTCTTTGGCAAAATTTATTTATTCCTATAGATTTAGGTAGATGGGTATGGAAAAATCAACAGTGCTTTTCATTTTCTTCACCTATTAAGCTTTACCTTCAAGTGAATTGGGTCATCACTATCAAATCAGAGAAGGATAAAAGTATTAAAGAATTTAAAGAAATATCATCTTTACTTTCTGCACTTATATGGCATCACTCTTTACCATCATTCTCCATAAAGGAGAAACTCTTTTGTTTTTAGATGCCTCTGAAAGGAAAAAAAAGTTCTATGATCAGTTGTATGTGAGATTGGCTAAGCATCTAGTACATGTAGGAGATGTGATATTGGTTCTCTGAGACCTCATGTTTCAAAAAGAAATATTAAAATGCAGAGTCAGGAGCTGTTCTTATCCCTGTATTTCCTTTCCTTCTTCATGTATGCAGGATCAAAGTAATCTAGTTGACAGGTGGGCAAAACAAAAGGTACAGCTGCCTCAGTATGAAGAACTTTATCCATTGTCAAATTCCATTCTTTTCGGTTCTTGCTAAACCCTTCCAGGTCTTTTGCTGCACTGTTTCTCCCAACTGACCTTCCTGTTCAAGTGAAAGTTCTATCCTGACATTTTAATTCGTTAGCCTTTTGCCGGTTTTTTTTTTTTTTTTCTTTTTGGTCCAAATCCCTGAACGACTTTAGATGAAAAAGTAAAACTAATTTGGGCTTAAGCTGTAGGGGAAATTAATGAAAACATACTGGACAAATGAATTTATACTACATTATTTACTTACCACCCTTTTCTTCACTCTAGCATATTTATATTTCCATTCACCTTTGCATATCTCAAGCTTCTTGGCTAACTTTTCTGATGATGTTTATAATTCCAGCTCTCAGATGTCTGAAGGATATTTGCAAACATTCACTACTCCCGTAGAATCAGTGACCACCACTGTGTCTCATTACTATTCCAAGAGTTACTAAGTCTCCCTTGTTATGCTGATGTGGTATTCAGTCTTTATTTTCTTTAACTCTGGAAATTGGAACTCCTATCACCCCATTATTCCTGATACTAATTTGTCATCATTCTTAGACCTTCCCAACTGTAACTTATTGTCTTCTCCATTCCCCTTCTGTAGTCCACTAGGCACTGAAAAATGGAAACATCTAGGGAACATCATATTCTACTGGAAATATTACTGGAATTAAAAATCAGATACTGAGAATTCCAATTCAGGCTCCTTCACTTACTATGAATCAATGAGCCTTTTTGGGCTTTAATTTTCTCATATTTTATTTTATTTTATTTATGTATTTTTTTGAGACAGAGTCTTGCTCTGTTGCCCAGGCTGGAGGGCAGTGGCATGATCTTGGCTCACTGCAACCTCCACCTCCTGGGTCCAAAAGATTCTCCTACCTCAGCCTCCTGAGTAGCTGGAATTACAAGTGTGCACCACCACACCCTGCTAATTTTTGTATTTTTAGTACAGACAGGGTTTTACCCTATTGGCCAGGCTGGTCTCGAACTCCTGACCTCAAGTTGTCTTCCCATCTCAACCTTCCAAAGTATCAGGATTACAGGTGTGAGCCACCACAACTAACCAATTTTCTCATATTTAAAATTAAAATAACGGTAATAACATCTATCTTGCATAATTTTCTATGGAATTCATATAAGTTATTACATGTAAAAAGGATCAAAAGTTGTAGTTTTGGATGGAAATTCTTTGAGGGCAATAAGATGCCCTAATAGATTGCAGTTAGTCAATAAGTGATGAACAAACACATTTATAAATGGATTTTTAAACGCTAATTATTTTTACATTATAATGTCACTCAATAAACATTTATGGAATACTTACCAGGTACAATGCACTGGACTGTAAATTGTAGGATGAATAAATGCTTTATTCCAAGGAATTCACCGTCATAGATATTCCTGAATACTAGGATTAAAAGGGACCATGAAGACTTTCTAGTTCAGCCCCCTCATTTTGCATACATGAGAAACAAGAAATAGGGAAGTTATACATTTTGCAATGTTAAAAAGCTATTAAGTAGGGAAGCGTGGACTCTAAAATACAATGGGAAAGACAAGCATGCTTAGAAATAATTTAAGTACATGGCAGATGTGTGATGTGGGCTATGACAGAAACACAAATAATGGTTCCATGGTTATATGGGATTCATGTTGTATGATCAAAAGAGCTGCACCATGAAGGCCATTCCAGATTACCATTTACTATATGACCTAAAAGTCACTTAAAGATAGAGACTAAGATTTTTTATCTGTAAAAATTATAGAATAATAAAGATCTTGCAATATTGTGTGAGTTTTAGAAACAAAATGAGCACTTAATAATAGTAGTTACTATTTTGTGATGAGGGTATAGCATTCCACAAATTTAAACAAGTAACAAATCAGATTTTATTATAAGCCAAATGTATGTGTCTATATTTACATATAGACACAGACATACACTCGGTATTAATTCATTTTAAACTTAAAAAGTTATATTTGTGTATGGTGTCTTACTGCAAACCTAATAACAGTTGAAATATTCCTACTAACCAAGGGTTAGAAGGCAGCCTACCCATGACAGAGGAAAGCCTGGACCAGAGATTGAAAACTAGACTTCAGCTTGGTAAGAAATGTATTTGATAGAATGAGGGGAGATTAAAATTGAAGGGCAAGTGGTTTATCTCCCCTTCATAAACAGAAGTATGTCTAGCTTGGTACAGTCCTAGGACAAAAGTAAAAAAACAGAAGTTCAATAGAAATGTGATGAAAATAAGTCAGCTAAATGAGGAATGAAGTTGAAATCATGCCTCAGCGTTACATAACTTCAGTGGTATAGTTCACAGTCAGAAAGCACAGCTTCCTAAAATTGGCAAAGTTATCTATCTTAAAGCTTTATGCAAACTGTATTACAAAGCACAGTTTCATTGTCCAAGGAATAAGTGGCAATTCATTCTTTTATAGAACAACACCATCTTTTCTTCCTCCTACAATTTTTTAATTCATATGGTTTGTAGGACATTAATTAAAACTATGCAGCTTTTAATCAAAGTGGAGGGGGGAATATGTAGATTCTTGCTGACTTTTGGCTTTGTAAACAAGAAATAAGCAGTTCTAAGATAATTGTTAATTTTTCACAATTCTTTTTCTATCTGAATGATAAATTATTCTCAAGAAATAGCAGTTCTAGAAAGGATGTCTAGCAGATTAAAAACAGCAAATAATGGCCAGGCGCCGTGGCTCATGCCTGTAATCCCAGCACTTTGGGAGGCCGAGGTGGGTGGATTGCCTGAAGTCAGGAGTTCAAGACCAGTCTAGCCAACATGATGAAACCTGTCTCTACTAAAAATACAAAAAAATTAGCTGGGTGTAGTGGCGCGCACCTGTAATCCCAGCTACTTGGGAGGCTGAGGCAGGGGAGTTGCTTGAACCAAGGAGGTGGAGGTTGCAATGAGCCGAGATCACACCAGTGTACTCCGGCCTGGGTGACAAGCAAGACTCCATCTCAAAAAAAAAAAAAAAAAAAAAAGCAAATAATGATACATATGAAGTAAAATTATTAGCAGTTGGTGATGCATTGCATATAGTGTGTGAGAAGTTTCAAAGACAACCTCCAATTTTTTGATAAGTGACAGAGTCCTTCACTACTGCAGGAAACACTGGAGAAGTGAGTTTGGCTTTTGTCTTGGTCAGATGCTTTTGGGACATCCACATGAACCTGCCAATTACATGGCGGGATACAGGATTCAAACTCAGTGGAATGGGGAGGGGGAGAGCATGGATTAAATATGGACAATGAAAGGTAGCTGCAAATTATTTGATATTCATACTTTGGAGAGGCTGTGTTCCCTCCCTTTAAATCTGGGTAGGGTCTCTGACTGCTTTGACAAATAGAATATGCTGGAACTAATTCTGTGGCTGTTTCCAGGACTAGAACGAAGGAAACTGGTAGTTTCCTATTTCTGTCTTCTGAAATATTTTCTTAGGGGAATGCAGCTGCTACATGAGAAGACTGACTATCCTGAGACTGCCATGCTATGAAGAAGCCTAAGCTCCTTATGTGGAGAAGCTACGAGCAGAGGCCCACCTTGCCTCCGCTGTTCCAGCCACTCCTGCCCGAATGCCCAACATGTGAGTCAAGAAGTCCTCTTGGCCATTCCTCATTATGTAGTGATAGGAAACACAGCAAAACTGTCACCCAAGGCAATACAGAAAACCGGAGCTTCACGTACTGAACTGATGGATCTATTTTAGGGAGCTTCCAGACAGAATGTCAAAAGTGCCAGCAGGCTTCTTTTAGTTGCTAATAATAAGGTACAGATAGAGAGATATCATATAAAGAAGCTATTATTCAATCGTCATGAAGAATTTAAAGATAATATAAAGGAGCCAGGATTTGCTGAGATAGATAATGAAACTTTCGGCCAGGTGCGGTGGTTTACGCCTGCAATCCCAGCACTTTGGAAGGCCAAGGCAGGTGGATCACGAGGTCAGGAGTTCGAGACCAGCCTGACCAACATGGGGAAACCCCATCTCTACTAAAACCACAAAAATTAGTTGAGCATGGTGGCGTGTGCCTGTAATCCCAGTTACTCAGGAGGCTAAGGCAGGACAATCGAGGTGGAGTTTGCAGTGAGCCAAAATCATGCCACTGCACTCCAGCCTGGGTGACAGAGCAAGACTCTGTCTCAAAAAAAAAAAAAAAAAAAAAGACAGAAAATGAAACTCTTTTTTATTCTCAGTCTCTTTTTAGCAGTATATTCTAGAAGCAAGATAGTGCATCAGGGCAAAGATCAAGTGTGCTATCAGGAAAACACAGTTTCCAGATAAAGATGAAGCCAAAAGTATAATGAATGTGACTGTAAAACTCTTTGTTGAGAACTCAGAAAGATTTAAGGGCATGCTTTGCAGATACTCTTCATCAGGCAGCATGGTTTCTGACAATCTTCATGGGCCATTTGAAGGTTCTCTTCTCAGCACTAAATTTACTACACATATAATTTTTTAATGAATGAGCTGAAAGACCATAAATTATTTTATAAAGAAGTGCTTGGTGAGCATCCTCTAACAAAAGAAAAGTGAATCATTGTTTGTTTTATATGCTACAAAAAGTCAAAGAAAGAAGTGGGGAATACTTAGTCCTAAAAAACATCCCTGTGGGCAATATCAAGCAGAAATAATAAGAATAGCAAATATTCCTAGAAAACTGTTAGTCCTGTAAGGGTTAAAAATCAGTGTTTGGAAATAGGCAAAATTTTCTTCATGTACAGGTGTGAGAATAGCAAATATAACTGACCTAAATGAGCTAAAGAACCTTAGTTTTGGTGTCTACATCACAGCTAATTAAGAGTTCTAGCCTCCAGCGGTCAAATCAAGTTTGCCATGGGTGAGCTTTTAGTCAGAATCAATTGCATGTGTTTAAGAAGAACATGGAAATGATTGAAATTAATATCATTTATTAAATTGAGGATGAAATTCTTATTACCTTGTATGGTATAAGTGAACCATCATTCATTTTATGAAAAATGTGAACAACTTTACTTCCTCATTGCCATATTTCTGAGAAAAATATTTGAAGATTCAGAATCATTAAGCAAGAATTCCCTAGTATACTCACTTGATACTATCATGTTAAACCATATCTGTTTCTCATTCTTTTGTCAGAGGTAGGTTCTCTACAGGTGATGGCTAATGCCCATCTTTAATTCTATCAAATATCCAAGGGCTGAAATTGGTCTGATGTTGAGGTATGCAGACAGGGGGAGGGAAGAGATGTGCATATGGCCTGATACAGATAAACGGTATTTTCCCCCCTGTATGTGCTGAGCCAAGCTGTCCTTACTTGTTAACTTCAGGTATTTTTAGAATAAATATTCTTCATCCTTGGTATAAACAATTGCTTGCTAGTGTCTCTTTTCCTTCGGGAGATGAAGTTATAATGGGAATCTGAGTATATTGGTTGATGCAAAAACAAACAAGGAAACAACAACCCCGCCCCCCGCAAGAAAAGGAAAAAAAAAAAGAAAAAAAGCTAAGCATAAAAATGCTAACAGTAAATGTAAACCGTAATATTGTTTTTTTTTTTATTTTGAAGTGTAACACATTGTAAACCCATGCAAGGAAGTTCAGAGTTCACTATATATTTTGGATGAAAGAACTTATTTTAATGCACATATCCATAATGTGATAATTTTAATGACAGAGCCTGAGAGATCCAAACCCCATCACAGTCTCTTTTCCTTCCTTCTTTTTCTAATCTGATTTCCTTTTTTTAAAAAAATTCAGCAACATCAACTTTAATGTGGTCATTGATTTCCCATGGGCTAAGCTTTCAGAGAAATATACCAGGGTATGTTCACAGCTGATCACAAAGAACCTTCTCTCAAATGAAATTTGTAAAGTGAAAGCAACAGTGTTACTCTTTCCAGAGGTTACTTACCTCTTCTATTCCCAGGACTAAGAGAAAATCATCAGCTGCTAAAATAAAAAGAGTAAGTGCTATTATTTATTTATTTATTTGTTTATTTATTTATTTATTTTGGCAAGCAGGGCTTTATGCAGGAGAACTTAGAATAAGTCAGCACAAACATAAAAGTCTTTTTTTCAACTGATTAATTCCTAGGTACTGTAACATAATTGAATCTGGGGCTCATGGAGTTCAGGCCTGACAAGGTGTAACATTTAAAGACCTATAATAGACTGGGGCGCAATGGCTCACACCTGTAATCCTAGCACTTTCAGAGGCCAAGGCAGGTGGATCATCTGAGGACAGGAGTTGGAGACCAGCCTGACCAATGTGGTGAAACCCCGTCTCTACTAAAAGTGCAAAAATTAGCTGGGCATGGTGGCATGGGCCTGTAGTCTCAGCTACTTTGGAGGAGGCTGAGAAAGAAGAATTGCTTGAACCCAGGAGGCGGAGGTTGCAGTGAGCTGAGATCCCTCCACTGCACTCCAGCCTTGGTGACGGAGCCAGACTCTGTCTCAATAAATAAATACATAAATAAATACCTATAATGATAATAACAAGCAAAAAAGAAGTTTGCAAGGGTTTCACTATTTTACTCAAAGCATGTAGAATATTACAAGGTATCCAGTTTATAACCCCACCCCTAATAAAATTTTTCATGCCTTATTCTAGAGAACCCCATTCCAGAGGATCTCAGTAATCGGCACCCTTCCCTCAAACTCCTCCAAATATCTCAGTCTGCACTGAGATCTTAACATAGACTTTTGATAAATCACTTCTCTCCTCCTCCTGCCTATTATCTATATTTCTCCATATATATTTTTTGATATCATAAAAGTTCTAGGTGTTCCTGGGAGAATATATATGATCTCTCTCTCTCTCTCTCTCTCTCTCTCTCTCTCTCTCTCTATATATATATATATATATCTATATCTATACACACACACACACACACACACACATATATACATACATACATATACATATATATATATGTATATAAAATTCTTCTCCCAAACCCATATAAGCCTTCTATTACGGCTCACAACAAGTTATCATTTTCCTAGGTTTTAAGGAAATTATTTATTGTGACCCTAAGTGTTTCCAGTCCCATGTTCATTACTCAACAACATGTATTGAGCATTTACCATGTGTGAGTCCTTGTGTAAAGTATTCTTTGCTAGACCCTGGAAGGAACACAGAGAGGAATAATTTGAAATAGTTTGCCTTTAAGGAGCTCCAGGTCTAGTGGGAAATAAAAATAAGAGGATTCATAATCATAATGTAAAAATAAGGAAATGTGTGTTAAGATGGAGATATACTCTATTTTATTATTTTTTTCATAAATACCTTAAGACAACACTGATTGATTGAAAGTTCTTCCAACTAAGTGCATGAGAAGAGCAAGAAAAAGAGTAAGTGGGTCAGATTGTAACCCACTGGAGTTGTGAATATTTATATTTGATTTATTTGCTATGATTTAGAGAGTAGAGATTATTTACACAAAATTTAAATAAATTAATTCTTTATTGTTTCATTTCAAACCTTAACATATACTGAGTGTCAGCAAATATTTAAATGCTGTCTTGATAACTAATTATTTGGCTCTTTAATGTGTACTTCTGTTGTGATTATAGTTAAGAAATAGAAATTATAAAGAGCAAGTACTTCATGCTCATTTTTAAATAAATGTACCGAATTAATATATGATGCTGTGACTCTAGGCACACTTTGTTTTTTCACCTTAAACAAAGGTATGATTTATGTAAATTTAAAACAATGGTAAGAGTTTCTAATGTACATAGGCAGACATCCTTAAACATGGAGATTTCCTTAATAGATGTAATTATTTTTTACAAAAGGGTTTTAAGATAGCCAATTAAATTCCAGAAAGGTGTATTTTAGTTTGATAGGTGTTCTTTTTAACTTAGCTACTGTTTCTTAGCTAAAATTACTGAGTTAAGGGTGGAACCCATCAAGGAATAGGGCAAAGAAGGCATTCCCTAGGCCTGGACTCAGCATGGATAGATCTGAAAAAGAAGCAAGCCTATTTTACCTGAGGGCCTACCTTTTATAAGCACTTTCTCTAGGATAGTTTTCTTTTCACCTTCGGGGCAGGATAGTAACTAAGCCAAAAGGTTAGCAGATTTAATTTTTCTTATCAGTTAGTCACTTAAGCTTTTTATTTGTTTTTAAATAAAAATATTGAAATCGTTTTAAAAGCTTCTGCCTCTCAATAGGCATCCCTAGATAAGACACTAGTTTGAGAGCCCTCATTTTCAAATGTGCTTCTTCAGTACAGTTTGTTCATTTGGAATCTTCCACTGTAAGTAATCTTTAGTAAGATTTTACGATTTCTCTAAGACTTTGCTGCTTCCAGGGCCTAATACTTATTTATGCATGTGTAAGCTGGAAGGTACTCAGTTCTCCAGAAACTAAGGATTCCATTTTTACCTCACATATTTACCTTGGTTTTCAGATCTCCTTGATTAACTTAGCCAATGATTTTTTTCCTACCCAAGCATGCAAGAAAAAGAAAGGTGGTAGAACACAAAAATTCCTGCAAACTTTTAAAAGCCAAAGTTTATACCCTCTGCGATACTGCCATTTACTACCAGTTTCTTTCTGATCCAGTCAGACATAAGAGGCCTCTTTTATGGATCTAAGCCAGTTAATATAGAATCCAATCCTGGACTCAGTCCAGTTTCTGTCACAACTTCCAAACCCAGTTTGGATCAGAATTTGTTCAAAGAAACTTGGAGAGCTCAAAACAAAACTCTATGGGGCTTCAGAGTCTGAGAGAGAACTTACCATGATCCCAGTGCTGTGAGAGAGCAATGGAGACAAATGGGTGCAGTGGGTACCTTTCTTGGTCACTCAGCACTCCTGGGGGTCATTAGAAGCTGTACTTCAGATCCCACTTCTGACACATCTGTGAAAAGAAAATTCTTAGCTGAATAAAATTTAACAGAGTTTAATTGAGCAAAGAATGATTCACGAATTTGGCAGCCTCTTGAGCCAGAGGAGGCTCAGAGAGACCCTCTAGGCACACTTTTCTAATGGCACTTTTGCTCTTTTTGCACTTGGGTATTCTAGGTAAGTACTATTTTCTCTCCCCTCTGTGTTCTTCTATTCCTACCCCAAAGCAATCATTGCTTACCTTGTGTCTGTCATCAATTTATTCTTTCCTCTGACTACCCGTCTTTAATCCACAACTGTCCCCTGGACGATTTCCCCAGAGACCAGCTCTGTCATTACCCAGGGCTGTGTTTGGCAGTTAGATTTTGGACGTGTAGAATCCTGAAGGTGTTGATGATATTGCTGATACATGTATAATTTAGGGAAACCATAGATTCTCTCCCTCAATAATAATACCATAACACCACACAGCTTTATTAGGTGCACAGACTTAACTTTGATTCTATTTGAAGCTCTCCTTAAAACAGATCTTTTGCCTTTTTTTTTTTAACCTATTCCTTAGTTTGTTGAAATCAAAAATTTCATGGTGCCACCTCTCTCATCTTCCCTGCCTTCATTCAAAAACACATTGTTAAGGGTTCATGGGCAGCATGGCAAATCAGATTTTAATTACTTAACTGCTTCATGTGATAGTCTTATCAGTAACATGTTCATGTTCTAATAGAGCTTTGATCAATTTAATAAGCAGTCACACTTCATAAGGATTAAATGTAAGCTTTCCTCCCCAAAAAATTGTTACCAACAGTGCCTTGTCAAATCCCTTTCCATCTGGAGAAGGTGCTCCCTTAGAAGCATGGCAATCTGATTTCTAGCCTTTTGCTAGAAATAAATACCATGTTTCTAGCCATTTGCTAGAAATAAATACCATATTTCTAGCCATTTGCTAGAAATAAATACCATAAATAAATACCATAAGACTCCCCCAACTTTGCATCCCTCCTTGACACTTTATTTTTTAATTTTTAATTTATTGTTATATTTTTTTTTTGGTGGTGGGTGTTTGTCTTTTTACTTTAAGTTCTGGGTTACATGTGCAGAATGTGCAGTTTTGTTACACGTGCCCAGGTGGTTTGCTGCAACCATCAACCCGTCACCTACATTAGGTATTTCTCCTAATGTTATCACTCCCCTAACCCCCCCACCCACCGACAGGCCCAGTGTGTGATGTTCCCCTCCCTGTGTCCATGTGTTCTTGCCTGCTAAGATGACTCTCTTCCTCTGTCCTTGATCATATTCCCTGCATCCTGACTATTCTCCACCTCCTCCTCAAGGATTTTGCTTTACCTATTCTCCCTTAAAATATTATGGGATTTATTTTAAAATCATCTCACTTGAATTTTGGGTCTAATTCTGTACATTTAAAACTTCGCTTTCCAGTTTATTTAAATTTTTATTTTCCCCAAGCATAAGTTAGACACATGACACTGTGGCTATGCTTTGACTACATGGCTCCATGGTATGGGTTCTGACTTACTGTTGGGGCAAAGAATAGAGAAAACAAGACACATGTTTCCTATAGGATTTCCTGCAGTGAAGTTGCTGTTGAGTCTTTGGATCGTTTGATCCAGCTTGGCCCCCTTGTCCAGGGGCACTGTTAGAATATCCATTGGCCCACACCTGACCCACATGGAAACAAGCAAGATTCCAACTTTCTCGGACAAATATGGGCTCATTTTCTGAATTACTTGGTATGGAACCTAGAAGAGCAGATTCTGACCCCTATCTCTTGGCCACATCTCCAGTGTCCTATCTTCTGTCCCATTGGTCCAGATGCAGGTGAGCAAGCTTAGTAGCAAAGTGAAGTGAGTGTCCTACCAGAAAATAAAATGTTAATCTTTCCTCACTCAAAGCCTTTCTTTATTGGTTTAAGGAAGCCAGGATTTCAACAAACACAATATAGCTCCAGAGCCCCCATGTTCAATGAAAGCAGTATGTCCTACTTCCAAAGGTAGAAATAGACAATATTTTAGAGCAACCACAAAAGTAAGGATTCTGTCCTCTCGTACTTTATTTAAAATATTCAAATAGAACTAGTTATTGTGTGCTGTGCCTTTTTAGACATGATTAAAATTTACTGCTTATTTCTTTCTAAATCTCATTTACAAATTAATTGAAATTGCTTTTTTTAATTGACACTTATGTAACACAAATGATGAGAAAAAACTCAAATTGTAGGATATATATTTCATATCATCTAAAGGAAAAATGGAGATGAGAATTCAGGCTGCCATTTAAAAATATTAATGCTGCTATTCACATCTTAATAAATTGAGAACCCATTGAAAGCAACATAACATCTTTCATTTCTTTTTAATTTTTCAATTGGTAGTTACAAAACACTGTATATAACATACATATACTCCATTTGAACTAGGTCATTATCAATTCTGCTGTCTTTTCTTTGTGAATCTTCCCCTGCCTTCCAACAAAGAATCTCATGAATTTTATGTTTGCAATACACAAACATAAAAATTAGTTTTAGAATATCTGTGTATATATTTGAATACTATATTTTCAAGTTTGATTATTTTCAAATTTTATAAAACTGCTTTGTATTGCAAGTAGTCTTCTGAGACTTGTTTTTCTTTCTGTCTTTTTTTTCTTTTTTGAGACAGGGTCTTGCTCTATTGCCCAGGATGGAGTGCAGTGGTACGATCACAGCTTACTGCACCTTGACCTCCTGGCTCAAGAAATCCTCCCACCTCAGCCTCCTGGACTACAGGCACACGCCACCATGCCTGGATAATTACTTTTATTTTTATTTTTATTTTTATTTTTGCAGAGATGTGGTCTCTCTACATTGTCCAGGCTGGTCTCAAAAGGTCTCGAACTCCTGGGCTCAAGCAATCCTCTGGCCTTGGCTTCCCATTATAAGCATGTGCCACTGCACCTGGCCCCAACTTTTTAAAAATTTCAGTGTGCCAAAATTTATCTTTTTACAGCTATGAGATGAGAAGAGGCCATTATAAATAGCAATTGGAAATTAGGATACTATGGTTAACAGGATGAATAATTTCAGTGGCACAATAAGAGCAGGAATCAGATGTGCATTAAGACTCAGAAAGGAGTGGGAGTTTAAAAAGTCAAACAGAATGTAGGTTTACCCTTCAAACATCTTATGAAAAATGAATGGAGTGAGGTGGGCCAGGAGCTGGAGGAAAAAGGATCAGATGAAAGGTACTTAAGGACTAGGAGGACTTGAACTTGTTTATAGATGGGATTCAAGGAATCAGAATGTGAAAGATTGAAAATCTAAAAGAAGGGACAATGGATAGAGCAAAATCCTTCAGGAGGAGGTAGAGAATAGAGTCAGGAGGCAGGGAATGTAATCAAGGACAGAGGAGGAGAGCCATCTTAGCAGGCAAGAACACATGGACACAGGGAGGGGAACATCACACACCGGGGCCTGTCGGTGGGTGGGGGGCTAGGGGAGTGATAACATTAGGAGAAATACCTAATGTAGGTGACGGGTTAATGGGTCCCAGCAAACCACCTGGGCACATGTAACAAAACTGCACATTCTGCACATGTAACCCAGAACTTAAAGTAAAAAACAAAACAAAAAACACCAAGAAAGAAAGAAAAAGAAAGAAAGAAAAGAAAGAAAAAGTGTCAAGGAGGGATGGAAAGTTGGGGGAGTCTTATGGTATTTATTTCCTTATGTAAGCGTAAAGTGAAATCATCTACTGAAAGTGAGGCAGGTAGGAATGGGTTGGACTTAGTGGTGTGGGAAGGGTGATAAATGACCCGGACAGAATAGGAAGAAAGCTGGTGGTGAATGAAAAGGTTAGAGAGGAAGTTTGAGATCAGTTGCTAATGGCTGTTAGTGGAAAATCACTGAATATATCTGTTTTGCCTCCATTTTTGTTTACAGGTAAAGTGAACTCAGATACTTATTTTTTCTTCTTGATTACATAAAATAAAAACATGATAATTTTTAAAGATTTAAAACAAATCTATTTTTTCCCAGTAGAGCTAAACAGATTTTGCAGCTTAATTATGCTGCAGAGGAGTAATATTTCATCAATAATAATTTTCCGTTACCTGCCTCTAAAACTTTTTATTTCAGAAAATTAAAATAATATCTAGATAACATATCTAGATAACTACCTGAAGAAAATTAAACGTTGAGTGGGATCAATATAATTACAATGATTTCTTATTTTTGTAGCATCTACTATTTGACAACATCTAGTCTCTTATATTCTCTTTAAAAATAATGTCAGATATGCAAAAAAGAGGAACTTCAGTCAAGAACTATTTATTGAAAACCTAATAAATGCTCAACTAAATGGGACTGAGAGTGGAAAAACAGGCACATACTAGTGATGATAATAATTATGGCAACTTTGAGGCTTAATCTTACTTATTCTTTTTAACTTCATGAAGAAGATACTATTTTTATCCCCATAATACAAATGAGGACACTGAAGGTTATGGGGGTAAAGGAGTGACTTATCTGAGTTCCTAGAGGTAAAACTAAGAAAAACCCAGACTGCTTTGGTATACTAGAGTCTCAGTGCTTCACCAGTTTCATATCTTTTCTCTGTATATAGATTTGGGAACTTAAAGGCAGGTGCTTAGCCTGGTGAAATGATGTAGGGGGGTCCCTAAAGTAGCCACTTCATGTACCTAGAAAGAGTGAACTTTAGTAGGAGAAGAGTGGCAGTGGGGAGGGAGCTGGTTTGAAACTAAGGCATAAATCAAGAAAACATGTCTTGTTTTCCCAGGGAATAAAATGTGAGGCAGGGAGTATAAGAAAATTAGGCCAATAGAGATCAGATCAGAACTTCAAATGTCATCCTAAGGAGCTTGGACATGTTGTAACTGAAAGTGAGAAAATTAGGCATAAAAAGAAAAAAGAAGTAAAAGGCATCCAAATTGTAAAGGAAAAAAGTAAAGTTATCTGTGTTGTCAGATGACATGAGTATTTACATAGAAAACTCTAATGATTTCACACACAATAAAATCTGTTAGAACTAACAAACACAGCAAACTTGCAGGACGTAAAACCAATGTTACAAAAACCAGATGTGTTGATATACACTAAAAATAAACTTTATGAAAAGGAAACTAGGAAAGCAACTCCATTTGCAACAACACCAAAAAGAATAAAATACTTAGAAATAAAAGTGGCAAAAGACTTTTACACTAAAATAACAAATCATTTATGGAAGAAATTTAAACAGAAAAAAACTCATGTTCATTAAAGACAATATTGTTAAAATATGCAAAGCAATTCTCAGATTAAATGCAATCTTTATCAAAGCAATTCTCAGATTAAATGCAATCTTTATCAAAATCTCAATAACATTTTTTTGCAGAGGTAGCAAATCCAATCCTAAAATTCATATAAAATCTCAAAGAGCTCTGAATAGCCAAAACAATCTTCAGAAAGAAAAATAAAGCTGGCAGCCTCACATTTCCTGACTTAAAAACATATTACAAAGTTATAATATTCAAAACAGTATGGTACTGGCATAAAGCAGACATATAGATCGATGGAACAGAGAGCCCAGAAAAATCCCTTACATATATAGTAAATGATCATCAACAAGGGTACCAGGACTACACAATGGGCAAAGGACAGTTTCTTTAATAAATGGTGCTGGGAAAATTGGTTATTCATGTGCATAGAAATGAAATTGGATCCTTACCTTACATCTTATATGAAAATTAATTCAAAAGAGAACAGTGACCTAAACCTATAGCCTGAAACAATAAAAAATCTTAGGAAAATACATAGGAAAAAAGTCTCTTGACATTGGCCTTGGCAATGATTTTTTGGATATCACACCAAAGCTCAGGCAACAGAAGTGAAAATAGACAAATGGGACTACATCAAACTAAAAAAGTTCTTCTCAGTAAAGGAAAAAATCAACAGAGTGCAAAGGCAACCTATGGAATGGGAGAAAGTATTTGCAAATCATATACCTTATAAGGGATTTATATCCAGAATATAACAAGCTCCTACAAGTTAATGGCAAAATAAAACAAATATCGAATTAGAAAATGGGCAAAGAACTTGCATAGACATTTCTCTAAAGAAGTTGTATAACTGGGCAACAAGCATATGAAAGGGTACTCAACATCACTAATCATCAGGAAAATGCAAATCAAAACCACAATGAGACATCACCTTATATCCTTTAGGATGGCCACTGTCAAAAAAACAAAACAAAACCAGAAAATAACAAGGGTTGGTGAGGATTTGGAGAAATTCAACCCTTGTGCACTGTTAGTAGAAATGTAAAATGGTGTAGCCACTATGAAAAGCAGTATAGAGGTCTCTCAAAAAATTAAAACTAGAACTAAGGTCATATATCACATAACATTTTGGTTAACAACAGAACACATATACTACATTTGTCCCATAAGATTATAATACATTTTTTTACTGTATCTTTTCTGTTTTTAGATATTTTTAGACAGACAAGTACTTACCATTGTGTTACAATTGCCTACGGTACTCAGTATAGTAACATGCTGTACCGGCTTGTAGTCTAGGAGCAGTAGGCTTTACCATATAACCTAGATGGTAGGCTACACTATCTAAGTTTGTGAAAACACACTCTTATGATGTTCCCACAATGACAAAATCCCCTAATGATGCATTTCTCGGAATGTATACCTGTCATTAAGTGATGCTCTACCATATGATCGAGCAATCCCACTTCTGGGTATATGTCCCAGAATTGAAAGCAGGATCTCAAAGAGATTCACTTCAGTATTATTCACAATAGCTAAGAGGTGGACACAATCTAAATGCCCATCGATGGATGAATGGCTGAGGAACACACAGTAAATACATTCAATGCAATATGATTCAACCTTAAAAAGAAGTAAAACCTGTCCCATGCTACAATATGGATGAAACTTGAGGGCATTATGCAAAGTGAAATAATCCAGTCCCCCCAAAACATATGCTTCATGATTCCACTTATATGAGGTATATAATCAAACTCTTTGAAACCAAAAGTAGAACGGCAGTTTCTTGGGCTGGGGATGAGAGGAAAGGGCAGTTGTTCAGTGAGTTTCAATTTTGCAAGATGAAAATGTTCTAGAGATCTATTGCACAGGGTGCATATAGTTAGCACGAGTCTATTGTATACTCAAAAATGGTTATGATGGTAAATTTTATGTTATGCGTTTTTTACTACAATTAAAAAAAAATCCTGGAGAGGACAACTTAAGCAATAGTTTTGAAGGAAGGAGAGATGTGCCAGCAGAAATATTGCCAAAATGAACAACAAGACCTAGTTTCATTTCTCTTCTAAGGGTTCTGTGAGCCACAAGGGGGGCACGAAGACCCAGAGTACAAGCCAAGGAAGAGTAAAGCTCCAATTCTATTCTTCTTCATGTTCTCCATGTTTGTCTGAGGACGGAATACTAAAAAAATGTGAAAATTTGAGTTGTTATATAGTGCTACATTTTTAAAGTTTATTAACTTACAATATTATTTTCATTGATAATAATTAAAAATTGTAAAGCAAGTGTTCAAAACAGAGTTGTTGAAACTGTTTGCCAAATTTGAGTTTTCATTGCTTCCTAAAACAAACTAAGACAAAGTGAAATAATCCTGTTCACTTCAAAAACAAGAGATGATTCATATTATCAGCATATAATGGCAAAATGATCCTGGGGAGAGTAATCGTATTATGGTAATCTGAGATAAAGAAAATTATAACATTAGAATTAGAAATGGAATATTAAATGTCCAAATTGCTTAATTTTTACTTCTGGGACAGTTATTTGAACGGAAACTTTAAATTTTGTGTATATTTTTCCTTGATTCTATGGTTTAGAACTTCTGCCTCCAGAAAGGTCTAAAATACAAACTTGACCATGTCATATCTCTGCCTAAAAGACTTGTGCTAAATAGTATACAAAACTAAATTCTGAAAAAAGTATAATTTTGATATACTGTAATTACACCCTCTATTACTTTGTAGTTCAATCTTTCATTTTGTAGAAAATTGTTATGTGTTAGTCCATTCTTGCATTGCTACAAAGAAGTACCTAAATCTGGGTGATTTATAAGGAAAAGAAATTTGATTGGCTCATGGTTCTGTGGGCTTTATAGGAAGCATGGTGCTGGCATCTGCTTCTGGTGAAGCATCAGGAAGCTTCCAATCATGGCAGAGGTGAAGGGGAGACAGCATGTCACGTGGATGAACCAGAGCAAGAGAAAGAGAAGGGGAAGGTCCCTAACTCCTTTAAACAACCAGTTCTTTGGTGAACTAAGTGAGCAAGAACTCACTCATCACCAAGGAGATGGTGCTAAGCCATTCATGAGGGATCCGTTCCCATGATCCAAAAACTCCCACCAGGCTCCACTTCAACACTGGGGATTGCATTTAAACATGAGATTTGGAGGGGACAAATATCCAAACCATATCATGTTATTTTATGCAAAACAGTAATTCTCTAAAGTACTGAGCAGATTTTTAGTTAACATGAACACATAATCGATTAGTTTTTCATAGGATTTTATTGTCATTGGCACTGTTCTAGGCTACTCATACAAGACAGACAAGGACTATGCTTTCTGAGGGTCTGTATTCTAGGGGCCTTGGAAAATGGGATAAACAAAATAATAAAATACTAACTAGATAGTGATGTCTTTTTCTTTTATATTACCAATAAAACGTACATACTTTCACAGGAGACTGCAGTGTATAGTGTCACCAACCATTAGTCCAATGATCTTTCATCCCAGAACACAACTGTGTCCAGCACAAATTGAGGAGCTTCCCAACCATGTTCCCACTCCTGGCTTATGGATATCTTGGAGCATTGTATACACACAGGATAGTCAGATGTGGGCCATGCAAAGTGTGAATCTAGCAGTTGAGGCCTGGTGTAGATGGAGTAAGAGTTCTTTAGCTCTAAAAGGATAACAAACTGGAAGAGATTATTCAGATGTTAAAACAGTGCACCAAATGTAATATGTACAAAACTGAGTTCCTTATTCCCTCCTTTTTTTTTCCTTCTTATGAGTCTTCCTCATCTTACTTAATAGAAATTCTATCTTTCAGGCCAGAAGCTATAACTTTATCTTGACTCTTCTGTTTATCTTACACTCACCCACATTGGCAAATTCAACCATTTCTGCTTTAAAATAGATCCAGACTCTGATCATTTCTTACCACCTCCTATGCTACCATCCTGGTCCAAGTCACTCTCAACTCTTGCTTTGGTTTTATAATGGCCTCTTCACAGGTTTCTCTGCTTCCATTCTTTTCCTGTGTCTATGTCAATAGAGTAGCCTGAGCCATCTTATTAAAGCATGTCTAGTACATTTTAAAATACAAGGCATATCACTCCTCTGTTCAAAATGCTGTAATTGCCATTCATCTCACTCAATGAAGGCCAAATTAATTTTGTTAACCTTACAAGGGTTTTCATAATCTCTAATATGATCTTACCCAGTCACTTCTCTGACTTCTTATCCTATTCACTTTGTTTTCAACACAAATATGCCTCTAATAATAGGTCAAGCAGCCTCCCACCTGGTCCCTTTGCACCAGCTGTGCCCTTAGGCTAGAATGCTCTTTGCTCAGATATCCACATGTTTTTGCTGCCTCCTTTCCTTCCTGTCTTCACTCGTATGCCACATTTTCAGTGACGCTTTCCTCAACCAATTGAAAATGTCAGTGCCCATCGCTTTGTGTTTTATATTTTTCTCTTGATGATCATAATTTTCTAGCATGTATATCTTTACTTATTTACTTTGTGTATTGTTGGCACTTTTGTCTAGAACCTATGCTCCATAAAAGATGTGCCTTTTCTATTTTGTTTTTCTGTATCACCATTGCCTAGAACATAATAAATATTCAATAATTAATGAAAGTGGTTTTAAGAATGAAATCATTTCCTTTGCAGCAACATGGATGCGGCTGGAGGCCATTATCCTAAGCAAATTAAGGAACAGAAAACCAAATACCACATGTTCTCACTTACAAGTGGAAGCTAAACATTGGGTATTCATAGACACAAAGATGGCAGTAATAGACACTGGGGACTACTGGGGTGGGGAGGGAAGGGGGCAAGGGTTGAAAAACTATTGGATCACTACCCGGGTGACAAGATCATTTGTACCTCAAACCTCAGTATCATGCAATATACCCATGTAACAAACCTGCACATGTACCCCCTGAATCTAAACTAAAAGTTAAAATTACATATTTAAAAAAGGAAAGTTGTTTTAGAATAAGCTCTGGTTGTAGTAGGTGGACAAAAACTCAACTGACTTTTCATGTGTGTAATGTAGCAAAGGAAGAAAAACAAAACAGTTTATTTTCCTTATTAAGCAGACCAAATGATTACTATTGTTTAACCACTTGGATGCTGCATAAATCAAATTATGATTTAAAAAAAAAAACAACCAATGCTTAGAAAGAAAGCATTTGTTGCCTTAAATATATGCCCCTACTCAGCATTTTAAAGTCATGAAATCTTTCCCAACTGCATAAAAATTGAACTGTAATGCCCACAAATTGCTCCTAGTTTCTACTCTTAATCACATTTGACCTACTTTACACAGTACTTTTCTAGTTCTTATTGATTTTTCTGTCTCAGGCACACTTTCCACTTAGAACTTCAAATCATACTTGGCTCTGGCATCCAACACCAACAATCCTTCTTGGCCTCCGCTGGTCATACCATCAACAATGCCCCAGAATAAATATCTCGCCTCCACAGCCTGCGCCCTGGTGCTGCCTCACAGCATGGCCCATGCATGGGGAAACAGTTTAGTATTTGTGCATCCATGTGTCTTGGACCAGGAAATTGAAGGATTCTTTTAAAGCATACCTTAATATATAGATAGACTCTGCATTTCTGAAAAATTGAAATTTCGTGCATATTAATAATTAAGGGTTCTGAAAAGGAACCAATATTTTTACCTTTTTACTAACACACACAGAAATAAAAAGTCAGGTCTGCAAACACAGTTCTGTTGTTTGCTGACCTCATGAAATGTGATGGATATAAGAATTCTGCTGTTCCTGCTCTCTTCTGTTGCCAACCAGCCTCTTACTGTGCCACATGAGCTTCCTGCCCTGTGCCTGGGCCCCAATTATTTCTCTCTCACTAGGGCTCTGATGTGGAGTTTTCTTAGCCACCAAAAAATAAAACTTCAAATGAGGCAATGAAATAATAACCTTGATATGTGGAAACAAATGCATATTTCTAACATTCTTATGAATGAATTTTCAACATGGACAACTTTATCTTGCTATCAGTAGGCATTGTGCCAGGACTGTGGTTATATATTTAAATACGAGGAAATTTGCTTATAATAATAACAGGTGTTCTAAAGAACAGTGATGGTGCCAGGAGAGGAAAAGAAGTATCAGAGAAAAGAACTTCCCAAAGAGAAATACAAATAACATAATTAGGATTTTCTAGACTTTTCATATGCCTTTTTTAGTACATATCAATATTTTTCTTTCTTTTTGACTTTTATCAATAGAAAGAAATTAAACTGAATTTTTAAAAGGGACCTACCATTTCTAAGAACTATGGAGCTTTGAGGCTTCTATAGGTATGGTGACATTTGCCATTGAATCTTACATGTGAGCCATTCATAGAATGGCCACATAAATTATCATCGTAACTGATGTACTCTTGAGAGTGAAATATTGGGAATATCCATATGATTGTCCTGGCCATTTCCCAAGGCCTTTACCAGAAAGAAGCAAGGCAGACTGGTTTACCAAGAACCTTACATAATTATTTGAAAGGCTACACACTCCAATTAGGTTGTAGGCCCTTAAAAAGAGACAGAATTTTAAAATTTATATTCCATAAAACCATTATGAGAAATAGATTCATGGCACTACCAATGCCACTTATAGGAAGCTCTATCTCATGTGATTAGATATTTGTAGTGATAAAATATTTTTTCACCTAAATTTGATGCTTACAGATGTGTCAGAAGACAGAGGTAAATTTTACATTGAAAAATTCAATCTAGTGATGTTTTCTTTATTCATTTCTTTCTAGTTCATGTAACTAAAATTATATATTTTAGGGTGAGTTGCTGGTGCTTCATTTTGGAAATCAGCAGGGTATAAATGATAGGTATGTGTTATTGGGTATCTATGTGGTGTATATACTGGCGTAAAGTTCAGAACTCTTACAGCACATACAAAACAATTGTCATGTCAAATTCTGGCCTACAAGTCTGTGTACTATATCTGTTTCTGTTGAATGTAAAATAAAATGCCAAATTTCTACAAAATTATGCTTTTGTCTGTGGATAGACATGTCAAGGTAGAAGTTTTTACCTAAATGCAAAGTCACACACACACAATCTTCCTTCAGTTTTCAAAGATTTTCTGGAACATAAATCTTAAATTAGATTTCTATCAGGTAACAGTTTAACAATAGTAAGTCAATTCATCCTGGGATAGCCCTAATAGAAATACCAGTTTTCACATCTGGATTAAATGAGTTTTCTTCTCTTCTGCTCATGTATTTCCAGTCCCTTTTTTCTCCGAATCATCTTTGGTATACAGTTTCTACTAGCCCCTTAACTGCCCAGAAAATTACTGCCCTGAATTTCCTATTTTAGGGACGTGTTGGCCTCATTTTAATGTCTTAACTGGTCCCCAATTAATTTTCTTTTCTCAACCCGTCTCTTTCTTCAACTTTCGTTCTCAATCCCACTCCATATTTGTAACAAAAAATATTATTTGAACCTCATGTCTTTAATCATGTTTCTTCCAAAATACTAAAAAAAAAATAGTGGCTGAAGTATGCTTTTACATTGGCTAATAAGGTTCGGCCTAGCAAGTATTATGATTTTTCTATACTATCTTTGCAACATCTATATTTTAACAGTTGCTTATAATTTTCTAGAAGATTGGAATCCAACATTTTACTATATTAAGAAATTTTTATATTTTTAAAATTTTACTCTTAATTGATGAATAATTGTCAATTGTCTATGGGGTACAATATGAAGTTTTGATATATTTACATTGTAGAGTAATTAAATTAATTAACATTTATCATTTCATGTTTTTACATTTTCATGTGTGGTACAGACCAATGTATTTTATATATTACAGTATTTTTAAACAGCTTTACTGAAGTATAAATGACATACAATAGACTTCTCATTTTTAAGTGTTCAGTTTTTATGTTATAACATCTATATAGATCTGTGAAATTATCATAATGAACCTATGAACATGATGAACGTATCTGCCATTCCCAAAAGTTTCTTTATATTCCTGTTATGCCCCACCCTTCATCCTTGTCACCTAAACCCAGGCTGAAAGTGATATGTTCGTAGTCACTATGGATTAGTTTGTGTTTTATAGAATTTTATTTATATGGAATATGAATTCTTACTGTCTGGCTTCTTTAATGCAGTATAATTATGTAGAGATTCATCTATATTGTGTGTGTATCAATAGATTGTTCCATTTTATTGCTGAATAGTATTCCATTGTATGGATGCACCAACATTTGTTGATGGGTATTTGGGTAGTTTCGGCTAATCCAATAGTGCTATAAACATTCACATTTGATATGGTTTGGCTGTGCCTGCTCCTAAATCTCATCTTTAATTCTCATGTGTTGTGGGAGGGAGCTGGTGGGAGTTAATTGAATCATGGGGGCAAGTCTTTCCCATGCTGTTCATGTGATAGTGAATAAGTCTCATGAGATATGATGGTTTTACAAAAGAGGAGCTCCCCTGCATGAGCTCTCTCTCTCTTTGCCTGCTGCCATCCATGTAAGACATGACTTGCTCCTCCTTGCCTTCCACCATGATTGTGAGGCTTCCTCAGCCATGTGGAACTGCAAGTCCTTTAAACCTCTTTCTTTTGTAAATTGCCCAGCCTTGGGTATGTCTTTATCAGCAGCATGAAAACAGAGTAATGCAGTAAATTGGTACCAGTAGAGTGGGGCACTGCTGAAAAGATACCCAACAATGTGAAAGCAATTTTGAAACTGGGTAACATGCAGAGCTTGGAACAGTTTGGAGGGCTCAGAAGAAGACAGGAAAATGTGGGAAAGTTTGGAACTTCCTAGAAACTTGTTGATTGGCTTTGCCCAAAATGCTGATAGCAATATTGACAATAAAGCCCAGGTTGAGGTGGTCTCAGATGGAAATGAGGAACTTGTTGGGAAGTGGAGCAGAGGGGACTCTTGTTATGTTTTAGCAAACAGACTGGTGGCTTCTTGCCCCTGCCCTAGAGATTTGTGGAACTTTGAACTTGAGAGAGATGATTTAGGGTATCTGGCAGAAGAAATTTTTAAGCAGCAAAACTTAAACAGGTGCTGTTAAAGGCATCCAGTTTTAAAAGTGAAATAGAGCATAAAAGTTTGGAAAATTTGCAGCATGACAATGTGATAGAAAAGAAAAATCCCATTTTCTAAGGAGAAATTCAAGCCAGCTGCAGAAATTTGAGTAAATAACAAGGAGCTGAATGTTAATCACTGAGATAATGGGGAAAATGTCTCCAGGGCATGTTGGAGACATTTGTGGTAGACCCTCTCATCACAGACCCAGAGGCTTAGGAGGAAAAAATGGTTTTGTGGGCCAGGCACAGGGTCCCTCAGCTGTGTGCACTCTAGGGACTTGGTGTCTTTCATTTCAGCCACTCCAGCCATGACTAAAAGAGGCCAATGTACAGCTCAGGCTGTTGCTTCAGAGAGTGGAAACCCCAAGCCTTAGCAGCTTCTACATGGTGTTGAGCCTGCCAGTTCACAGAAGTCAAGAATTGAGGTTTGGGAACCTCTGCCTAGATTTCAGAAGATGTATGAAAACTACTGGAAGCCCAGGCAGAAGTTTGCTGCAGGGGTGGGTCTCTCATGGAGAACCTCTGCTAGGGTAGTGCAGAAGGAAAGTTTGGGGTCAGAGCCCCCACACAGAGTCCTCACTGGGGCACTGCCTGGTGGAGCTGTGAGAAGAGGGCCACTGTCCTCCAGACCCCAGAATGGTAGATCCACCAACAGCTTGCACCATGTACCTGGAAAAACTGCAGATGCTCAACACCAGCCCGTGAAACCAAAGCCACAGGGGCATAGCTGCCCCTCTTGCATCACCTCTTGCATCAGCATAACATAGATGTGAGACATGCAGTCTAAGGAGATCATTTTGGAGCTTTAAGATTTGACTGCCCTGCTGGATTTTGGACTTCCATGGGGCCTGTAGCCCCTTTGTTTTGGTCAATTTCTTCCATTTGGAATGGCTGTATTTACCCAATGCCTGTACCCCCATTGTATCTGGGAAGTAACAATCTGCTTTTGATTTTACAGGCTCATGGGCACAAGGGACTTGCCTTGTCTCGGATGAGACTTTGGATTGTGGACATTTTAGTTAATGCTGAAATGAGTTAGGACTTTGGGGGACTGTTGGGAAGGCATGATTGGTTTTGAAATGTGAGGACATGAGATTTGGGAGGGGCCTGGGCAGAATGATGTGTTCTGGCTGTATCCCCACCCATATCTCATTTTGAATTCCCATGTGTTATGGGAGGGACCCAGTGGGAGGTAACTGAATCATGGGGGCAGGTCTTTCCCATGCTGTTCTGTGATAGTGAATAAGTCTCATGAGATATCATGGTTTTAAAAAGGGGAGCTCCCCTACACAAGCTCTCTCTCTTTGCCCACTGCCATCCATGTAAGATGTGACTTGCTCCTCCTTGCCTTCTGTGATGATTGTGAGGCCTCCCCAGCCACGTGGAAGAGGTCCATTAAATCTCTTTCTTTTGTAAATTTCCCAGTCTTGGGTATGTCTTTATCAGCATCATGAATACGAACTAATACAATATTCAAGTATTCTTTGTGTACATATGCTCTGTTTTCATTTCTCTCAGGTAAATATTTAGAAGTGGAATGATGTATGTTTAAATTTTAAGAAAATGAAACCTTGTTTTCCAAATTTGCTATGCAATTTTACATTCCAAACAGCAGTGAATGAGTGTAACAGTGGCTCTGCATCCTTACCAAGATGTGGTATAATCATTCTTTTACATTTTAGCTATTCTAATAGGTGTGCAGTGGTGTCTTATTAGGGTTTTCATTTCTATTTCCCTAATGTGTAATCATGTTGAGCATTTTTGCATGTGCCTATTTACTATTTGCACATCTTCTATGGTGAAATGTCAGTTCAAACTGATTGCCTTTTTTGTTTGTTTTTATTGAATTGTTTGCATTCTTTTTATTGACTTTTGAAGATTATTTGTATATTTATACTGGATACAAGTTGTTTATCAGAGATATGACTTGAAAATATGTTCTATGAATCTTTACCTTTTATTTCATTCTCTTAACTGTGTCCGGTAGAGTACAGTGCTTAATTTTGAAGAAGTTCAAATCATTAATTATTCTTGTATAGTTTAGCTTTGGTTTCATATCTAAGAAATATTTTTCTAAAACAATGTCACAAATATTACTTGTCGATTTTCTTCTAGAAGTTTTTTAACTTTAGATTTTACATTTAGGTCTATGATCCATATTTTTAAACTTTTGTAATATGGTATTTGATGTAGAGAGGTTCTTTTTTATTAGCATATAGAAACCCAATTTTTTCCAGCATGATTTGTTAAAAACAACTATTCTTTTACCATTGAATTGTATTTGCATTTTTAAAAAAACAGTTGATCATATATATTAGGATATATTTCTGGACTGCCTATTCTACTCCAGTTATCTATTTTCCTACTTTAAGATCAATGCCATGTTATCTGTATTACTGACACATTTTAATTCTTGAAGTTAGGTAGTCAAAATCCTCCAAAATTACATTTTTCTCCAAAATTGTGTTAGCTATTCTAGGTACTTTGTATTTTCATTTACACTGAAAAATCAGTATGTCAATTAAAAAACTAAGCTCATTGGATTTCCGTTTAGATTGCACTGAATCAGTAGAAAAACTCGAAGATAACTGACAATCTTAACAAGTTAAGTTCCCCTATCCATGGATGTGGTACATTTCTCCATTTGATTAGCCTTGTTTAATTCCTCTCAGCAATGGTTTATAGTTTTCCGTGTATAGGTCTTATACATTTTTGGGTCAAATTTATCAATAAAATTTAATATATTTTATGATTTTGAAAAAAATACTTTTTACTAGTTGCAAATTCCAATTCTTCATTATAGGTACATAGAATTACTACCTTTTTTCCTACTATATAACCTGTATTAAGCAACCCTGCTAAACTTACCTATTAGTCTTAATAGATTTTTGTAGATTCCAAAGACCTTTTTGCATAATCATATCTAGAACAAATAAAGATAGTTTTATTTCTTACTTTCCAATTCTGATGTATTTTATTTCCTGTTTCCTGGCTAGAACTTGTAGCATAATGTTGAATAGAAGTGTTGAGATTAGACATCTTTAACATAAGGGGAAAGCAATTAGTTAAACATGTTGTTAAACATAAAGGGAAAGCAGTTAGCTTTTCATTGTGAAGTATGATGTTAGCTACAGATTTTTTCATAGATGCTTTTTGTCAGACATAGGAAGTTTCTGTCCCCTTTTAGTCCCTTCTATTCCTAGTTTACTGAAGGTTTTATTAGAAATGAATGTTGAATTTTTGCAAATGTTTTTTCTTCATTTATTTACATGATTATGTGTTTTTTAAATGTTTGAGTCATTTAAAACAATGAACAATTTCAATTAATTTTGAATGTTTAACCAACCTTGTCTTTCTAGGATATAGTCCATTAGTCATAATATAACTTTGTATTTGATTTGCTAAAGTATATTGGTTTGGTAAACTGTCATTTTTTTTTCTCCCCCTCCATTCCCCTCTATGTGCATAATTTTAAAAATTGTGTTATAATGTAATATAATATTGTGTGTAATGGGTGATAAGGAAGAGAGAATCTGATTTGCTTGTTTTGAGGGTCAAGTTTTTATTTGTTTGCATATTTTAAGCAATGCCCTTATTTTATTCTGGACCAGTGCTTGAATCGCTAAGCTGCTAACAAGTTCAGATACAATTTATTGTTTGTTACTGTATGGGCTATCTGGGAATAGAGAAACTATTTTATTTTAGTATGCCATATTCAAAGGAGAAATGATGAAAAGTTTAAGAACATTTATTAAAAGATAAGTAAAATATTTATTTATATCTTTATAGGTGTGCAGTGGTATCTTATTGTGGTTTTCATTTGTATTTCCCTAATGAGTAATCATGTTGAGCATTTTTGCATGTGCCTATTTACCATTTGTGCATCTTCTATGGTGAAATGTCAGTTCAAATTGATTGGCTGTTTTGTTTTTATTGAATTTATTGTTTTTATTGTTTGCATTCTTATTAAATTTTGAAGATTCAATATCTAGATACATATCAATATCTAGATAAATAGAATGGTGAGTATTAACAAACTGATTTAAAATCAGACAGACTGTATTTTATGGAATGTTACAATACAGGATAACAAATCTCAGGCAATATTATAGGCACAATTTAAATATCTAAATAATGCCATCATTTAAATGTTCATAAAGACATGAATGCAAGTCTCAAGTTGAAGTAGATGATACCTTAAGGTTACTTATAGTTCAAAGACCTGTAATGCCATGAGTTAGTGAAAAGAGCAACTAAATCCTATGTTAATGTAATAGAAACTCCAATGTCTTGCTACATGAAATAGATGGTAATTAGATAATGATTATAAAGGAATTGTTCTATTGCATCATAATTTTCATGATTTTTTTTAATAAGAGTAATTTTGCATGGAATTGTGTATATACTAGATGTTTATTCACTGGCCTTTTGCAATTTAAGTTTATATAGTCAGAACCAATATTGCTTTATTAAGGAAACAGATTGTTACTCAATAGATGGTTCAGCCTTAATGTCTATGATTGTTTAATTTCCTTGATTTCATTTTCCTTAATTTAATTTTGCTCCTCTTTCACATTCAAATATGGAGTACTGCATGAAACACTACCTAAAGACAAAAAGATGCCAAGTCAAATCATTGGATAAAGCAATATGAAACACAAAAGTGGTACGTGCCTCACTAGGGAATTCCCCTCAGAAATTAGAGACACAAAGTGAATTTGTCCTAGAAATGAAGAATAGAGCACAAAACGAGACGATAGGAGTCTTCTTTGATTATGTTTCAAGTCAAAGAATGAAAACAGCAAAAGTTTAAAAATGAGAATAGCTTTTATTACTGAAACATTTTCTCTTTTGGCCTGATTTCTACAGTGATGCTAGATGCATTTCCTTTTGCAGCTTCATGTTTACTACTAGGTACAGATGATGTTTGAAACTCCGCAGTGCCAAAACCAGAAATCTCTACAGGCATTGTGGAATGCTTATCCTCTGGCCTACCATATTAATTTTCAGCCATCATATTGCTCATAGAGTTATATAATTAGTCCATATTTGGAACAAGACTTAGGCAATTTTGATTACCTCTAAGATTTGTTGAGAAATAATTTAATCAGAATTCAACAAATATAACAATATATTAAGTATAAATGTTTAAGTAGTGATAGTTGGATATTTGGATTTATTAAAGAGAAGACTTATTCATGACATTTGTTAAAGTATGATAAGGTAGCCAATTCGGGGGGACTATCAAGATAGGTAGAGAAAGTCACAATGGAGTTTTACAGAGGGGAAAGACATTGAGCTCCACTCCAAATAAAAGGAAGAAAAGTGGGAATGTATAGTCAAGGAGTAGGGTGGGTGGGGAGGTCAGTGGACAGAACATTACTAAGAGGATGTGATGGTTAATACTGAGTGTCAACTTGATTGGATTGAAGGATGCAAAGTATTGATCCTGGGTGTGCCTGTGAGGGTGTTGCCGAAGGAGAGTAACATTTGAATCAGTGGGCTGGTAAAGTTTGACCCACCCTTAATCTGGGTTGGCACCATCTAATCAACTGCCAGCATGGCCAGGATATAAAGCAGGCAGAAAAATGTGAAAAGGCTAGAGTGGCTTAGCCTCCCAGCCTACATTTTTCTCCCATGCTGGATGCTTCCTGTCCTTGAACATCAGACTCCAAGTTCTTCAGCTTTGGGACTCACACTGGCTTCCTCGCTCGTCAGCCTGCAGATGGCCTATTGTGGGACCTTGTGATCATGTGAGTTAATACTACTTAATAAACTCCCCTTTATATATATATGTATATCCTATTTGTTATGTCCCTCTAGAGAACCCTAACTAATACAGAGGACATGTCAGGAGTAAGGGGGATTCTGGCTAAACTGGCCTAACAAGATTCTTGCTGCAGGCAACAGGGTGATCAGACATCACTTGGAGGGTGGGGGAGGAAGAAGAACTTGATTCGATATTGAGGATGATCAGATATCAAGGGTGAGGGATTCTGGTTAAACTGACATAGTAGGAGCCTTGCTAAAATTGTACAATACAGAGACAAATATGAAAGCCCAAAAGGTAGGGCCTAGTTGAAAAAAAAGTTCAGAGGAGTCTGACAGAGTTTGGTGTAAAAGATAATCTTTGACAGGTTATAAAACAAATAAAGCTATATAAAAATGACGTCGCACTTAGAAATATTAAAACCACCTTTGCAAAAATTAGGAAAGTGGAAGAAATCTGACCTTATCAATTCCATCTTACTTCTAGCCTCCAAGCTGCTCTTGCTCATTCATGGCCAAGCTAACTATGAAAGGAATTTGGTTTATAGCTTAACTTTGAAACAAGGATGATAACAGCCCCTTTCCAAAACAAACCCTCTCCTTGCTTAGAGATCAGACCACCTTTGTAAAACTGACAAACTAGCCACCAGGTTAGAAATTATGGCTCAGGAGTCATGCAACTGGAGGCCATAAGATTCCTAACCTTCCCAATTGCTCCTACAGATTAACATCACTATTGTAAAACCTAAGATTGGTTTGAAGCATTTTTCTGACCCTGCATTCTGATTAACCAGCTGGTTCCACCCAGACTGGTAATTGGCTCATCTGTTCTTGGTTCTATATTTAAATTGTATATGTGCCACTTACTAAGAGTACTCTGGCAAAATATGTAATTTATTTAACATTGGGAAAAATATCTAATTTATTTAAGCAACAGTTTTCTCATGTGGGAAGTGGTTTGATAACAATGACTCTCTTTTGGATTTCTATTGAGAATGAAATATTTTATATAAAGCACTTAGCATAGTTATTGATATATAATAGGCACTCTAAAGATTCAAGCTGTTCTGCAGATGATTTGTATAATAAAGTTAATGGATGATGATGTAAACCAAGAATTCAAGAATAAAGAAAATGGAGGAAACAAAATATCAGTCCTAAGGGATAACAAAGTTGCTGTGTCTGAGAATAAAAATTTACTCTGAGATCCCTGACAATGCAGACAAAAAGGAGCCAGGACAAATTTATGATCATCTTCATTATACAAAAGGGAGAAGCATGCCAGTTTGTCAGAAGAGAGGTAATTACTTTTGATATATTCTGAAAAAAATTTCACTCAAGATTTTATATTATGGACATTGAATGGCATAATGGGTAGTTTTATTATGAACATAGAAGTAGAGTTATTAGATCATTCTTGTGGCATAGCTTCATTAAAGTTGAAGACATGATATTACAGAGGTGGTGATGCTGTGAAGAGCTAGGCTATTGTGTTTCAAGTACCAGGACTAACTCTGCCTAGGGTTAGCATTAATTATGCCTACAGAAGGATATCCACTAGGATTCTCAAAGGCTTGCTCTCAAATCTGGAAGATTAGCATCATCTGGGAAACTTTAAGAAGTACAGATTCCTGGGCTCATTACAGATTGTGATTTTTGTGGATTGTGAATAGGCCCAGGTATCTGCTTTTTTAAAATAAGCCTTCTAGATGGAGCTGACAGTTAATTCAATTTGGAACTATTGTTTCCCTAAATTTCATCCCTAAATATTCTTTCACCTAGGCTTTTGTTAAGCATTAAAAATTAGACATGAGATCTTATTTTCTGATTGCTTACATCTTATATTGCTGATTTAGGAAAGATTATTATGTTGCGAGACTACACAACCATGGACAGTGTTGGTTGTCCAATATGATAGCTGAACAGCTGAGATCATTTTTTTCTGATGGATTTCACTTGCATGCGAATTTATTTGATCATGTAGGCAAAATGAGATTCTTCTCACAAGGGAGCTCCAGAGCTTGTTCAATATCTGGACAAGTGATTGATGGAGACCTTAAAATTACACCCCTTAGAATGTATCAGATATTGTGATACTTTAGAAAAATCATCAAGGCAGGTGCTGCATGTAACCTGTCATCACTACAAAATTATAAAACTCAGAGTGCCCCCATGGATTGTTTGATTCTATGTTTCAAGTTCTCCTGAGGAGCCTGCCAGGATGAATTAGATGCTACATGTACCCATAGTTAAACAAAGAAGTTGGGAATAACTCCTTGTTAAGTTTTTATCAGGTGTGAATGAAAGAAGTTAGTAAATTTACTCTTTGTGAGATGCTGAAATATTGCAGAAACTTATAGTCCATTTAAGGAATAGGTACTTAACAGAGTGAAGGTGTACTGATCCATAGAGAGAATCTAAACAAAGACTCATTTTCTCTAATCCATAGCAGAAAGACAGGAAAAATTTTAGAGTAAGTGAGTAGAACGTTTGGCTTTTAATTGGCAAAATTGAGGCCAGTAAATTGTTTGCTGACTTTTATGTGTCAAATATAAATTCACAGATGATGTTACATAAACATTGTTTTGAAAAAATAGCATACATATTTTACTCTTATAGCTGAATCAAATGTTAATTCTTACTATGTTTTTTTCTTGTTATTTGACTATCAGAAACTCTCTTGTTTTGTACTTTAAAACGTGCATGTTGGAGATCAAAGTTGGGAAGTGGAAAGGAAATTCATGAGAAATACACTATGTCTTATTGAAATTGAGTTTTCCTCTTAGAAGTTCTTCTATTTAAAGCATTCCTCAGAAGTCTGATGCTTTAGTTTTCAGAGGTTTGGTTTATTTTCAGGGTTGCATCATTCCCTAAAAGGGCATATGGTTATTTTGGAAACTTTGTGAAGTGGAAAGAGTGTGGACTTTGGTGTCAGATTAAACTGGATTGAATCCTTACTCTGACACTTACCAGGTGTGAAACATTTCACAATTTATTCCATTTTAATTTGGGGAAGATACAAGTCTTTGTGGTCACTGTAACTACTAAATAGAAAAATATATGTAAAATGCCTTGAGTATAATAAGCAATTAATAAATTTAGTTTTCTTTCCTCAGGTACTGTTTCCCTTCATGGAAAACTTTTAAAAGCATCTCTATAGGGACTTTTGATCCCAACAATATTAAAATCTTATCCAGTGTTAATTTAAATATTATTGTTGTTTTTTTACTTCATTTGTAGCATACATGACTTTCAGAGCCATTTTGTAAAATGTTTAGGTAATCTCTTCTGATTCAAGAATATTTAAAAAGTCTCCTAAAATTAATTTACTGCCTGAAAACTCAATTTATTGAAGTTATCTTTGTGGGTTGCATTTTGAAAGCCCTGCAATTTTCGGAGCCCCATACCTCTTCATCACCAGAAACATATGCACATATAATTTATCTGTCCTTGTCTTTACTTAAACACTTGATCATAGGACCAAGGAACAAGATTACCTCTACCTTACTATATTTCTTAAGTGGCCAGATGACTGCCCACCCATAGAAGAAATTATGAAAACTCTTAACATCCTTCAGTTATTACCCTAGATTCTATATGACATTGACAGGCATTAATAAACACTTATTATAAATATAAAAATATCATTGATTATTCATTACACAGGAAGAAAAGATATTGGATTTCAAATTTAAGTATAACCAGAATATTAGCACCACATTTACCTATTAGTTATTTAACATACCCAGTCACTACCCATCTCTAAGCCTCAGCATTTTTATAACCATATGATGAGGTATATATTATTATTATGCCCATTTTACAGACCAAGAAACTGTATTTGAAATGCAACTTAAGCCACTTGGCACTTGCCACTTGTTGCTAATTGGACACTTGTAGAGTCCAATTAACAATAGTGAGGTCTGGCATAAAGAAAATGATTTTTTATTCCAAAGCTAGCTTAGTGGAAGTACAGGCTTCCTGCTTAAGGGTGCTGCTTCACTTTTGGAGCAGAAAGCAAGCACTTTTAAACTGGGCTGAACATGAGAAGCACGGTTCGGGGGGCGGTAGGTGAGCTGGCAGGGGATCTGTGTATCAGCTTGGTGCCTTGTCTACCAGCCAGTCAAGCTGGTGCCTGCTGGCATCTTTGTGGGCAGGCATATTTTGGATTGTAAATTGACTGTTATCCCTTGAGGCAACCTCCTGGTAGGTGAGAGTTCATTTCTGAAGCTGCTAAGCACATAGTTAGATGAACTTGCCCTGTAGCAAGTGACTGGTGAAAGGGAGGTAAAAGGCTATATTTGCATTTCTAAAGGACTAAGTAGAAAGTGGGGAAAAGCAGGAAAGAGAAGAGAGAGAGAGAAAAAATAAATGATCTCTTTGAAAAATAGGCGCTACTAGTTGTTAAACAAGTTTAGTGACAGTAACCTAGCTAGGCAGACATCATCAAGATGGCTGTCTAGAGGTGCCCAGTGCTCATCTTCTGTATAAAGCAGTACACAAACAATAAGTAAACTGTGAGTAGAGTGTCTAAGGAGGAATACTGGAATTAGGAAGTGATGAAGACCTAAAGCATGAAAACTTGGGATGGCAGAATACAGAAGGCAGTGAAGCACCTGGCCAAGATCAGTTCAGAACCCAAAGCATCTTCCCTTTGTGGGGGAAAAGGTAAGCAGGAGATTCCCAACAGCTCCTATTACTAGAATAGAAACCTGAAATCCTAGCTAAAGGAGAGCCCCCACAGTTCTCCCAGGCCCTGAGCCCAATATAGGAAGCTGCCTGGAGTCCATATGGTTGCATTGCCTAAGAAAAGGAGCCCTTTCTGGGTTCTCTCCACTCCCACGGACCTAAGCTACTATGGCAGATGCCATTTTGTGAACAGGGCCACTGTTAGAGTGCATCTTGCCTTGGGGGCCAATAGCCCTTGAATCTCCACATTTCTGAGGCCTTACCATCATCCCACCATGCCCACACAAAAGGCATGGTGTACAATCAAGTGGTGCCATGACCCCAGCTAGCCCCAGCAGTACAACCATGACACCAGCACTTAAGCTTATGCAGCTCCCTGCACTCTAAGAAGCAGGCAGTACAGCACAGTGGTGAGACAGACCCTAAGGTAGGAGAATTGATGCACACAGACCCCAGGGCCCAAGGACCATCCCATCCAGCACTCATCATTGCCAGCAATGCCGCCTCCATGACCAACAGAGCCAATGTGACTGGTGTGTGCCCCCACCAGTTCCTGAGAACCTGCTCACTCAGTGGCCCCCACCCACAGAAAAGCCATATTACCATCTCCACAAAAACATATAGTTTAGGCCACTGAGGCACTTGCAGACACCAGTGTCATCGATTATAGCAAAATGAATCACATGGAAACTGCACTATTGTACCAATCCCAAACCAAAGCCAAAGCACCCTACTCAATCAACAATATAGGGTACATCTATAGGGAAGAGTCTTTCCCTTCAAAAGTTACTCTATAAAATTGGAAGAGACATATGTTCTACCAGATTTGCAGATATCAATGTAGGGACACAAGAAACATGAAAACACAAGAAAGCATAACAGCTCCAAAGAACACTATAATTCCCCAGTTATACATCCAAAAGAAATCTATGCAATACATGAAAATAAATGCAAAATAATGGTTTTAAGGAAACTCCATGAGATACAAGAGAACACAGATAATTGTACTGAATCAGAAAAACAATTCATGATGTGAATGAGAAATTCAAGAAGATATCGTAGATATCATAGAAAAATCCAAACAGAAATCTTGAAGCTGAAGAATTTAATGAATGAAGTAAAAATTACAACTGATAGCATCAACAGACTAGATTAAGCAGAAGAAAAATTTTCTGGACTTGAAGACAAGTCTTTTGAAATAACTCAGTGACATACCAAAAAAAGAAAAAAAATAATAAAATTTAAAACACCTATAAGACATATGGGACACCATTACATGAACAAATATTTGTGTTAGGGGAACTTCAGAGGAGAAAAGATGGGAATAGGCATAAAAAACGTATTTAATGAAGTAAATGCTTAACATTTACCAAGTCTTGGAAAATATATGGACATTTAGATCCAGGAAGCTCATTGGTTCCCAAATAGATGCAAAACAAAACGTTTCTCTCTGAGGCACATTATAGTCGAAGTATCAAAAGTCAAAGACAAAGAGAATTCTAAAAAGAGTAAGAGAAAAGCATCAAGTTTAATATAAGGGAATCCACATTGGACTAATAGCAGATTATTTTATTTCTCAAAAAGAAACATTACAGGCTAGAAGAAAAGGGGATGATATATTCAAAGTACTGAAGGGAAAAAACCCGCCAGCCAAAAAATACTATAACCAGCAAAAGTATCTCACAGAACTGAAGGATAAATAAAACCTATTCCAGACAAACAAAAAGTGAAGGAATTCATCACGACTATACTAGTCTTACAATAAATGATTAAGGGGTTCTACATTGGAAGTACAAGAATGATAGTTACTATTATGACAACAAACGAATGTACAAAACTCAATGATAGAGCAGATATGCAAATGAGAAGGGGAAAGGAATTGAACCTTATCACTACAGAAGACCACCGAACCACAAAGATAAACAATAAGAGAGAATAAAGGGAGCAATATGTTGCCTACAATAAACTCACTTCCCCTATGAAGACACATATAGACTAAAAGGGAAGGGATAGAAAAATATAGGTCATGCAAATGGAAACCAAAAGCAAGCAGGAGTAACTATATTTATATGAGATAAAATATACTTTAAATCAAAAAATGTAAAACAGATAAAGAACATCATTATAAAATGATAAATCAATTCAGCAAGAGGATATAACAATTGTGTGTGTATATATATATACCCAACAATGAAGCACCCAGATATATAAATTGAATATTATTAGATCTAAAGGGAGAGATAGACTCCAATAAAATAATTGAAGACTTAAACACTATACCCTCACTGGACAGATCATCTAGACAGAAATTCAACAAAAATACACCAGGTTTAAACTGTACTTTAGATTAAATAGACCTAGTAGATATTGCAAACATTTCATCCAATTGCTGCAGAATATAAATTCTTCTTACCAGCACATGAAACATTATTAAGGTTAGACCATGTGTTAGGCTACAAAACAAGTCTCAAAAAATTTTATCAAAATCAAAATCATATCAAGTATGTTTTAAGACAATAATGGAATAGAACTAGGAATCAATAAACAAGAGGGATTTTGGAAACTGTACAAATACAGTTGAAATAGGAACAAACCTAAACTTGTGGAATACAGCAAAAGCAGCAGTAACGGTGAAGTTTATAGCAGTAAATGCCTAGATCAAAAAAGTAAAAATATTTTAAATAAACATTGATGCATGTCAAGGAACTAGAAAACCAAGAACAAACCAAACCCCAAATTAGTACATGAAAAGAAATAATAAAGTTTAGAGCAGAAATAAACAAAATTAAGACTAAAAGCAATACAAAAGATCAAGGAAACAAAAAGTTGGTTTTTGGAAAATATAAAATTGACAAACCAATGGATTTTACAGCCAACTGGTTTTTGACAAGGATGCCAAGAACATACCCTGGGGAAAGGAGAGTTTCTTCAATAAGTGATGCTGGGGAAAAGTCTACTAAAACTAATTTGTTGTCATTATACAGGAAGGATAATGGATATCCATATGCAGAATAATAAAAATAGACTCATCTCACACCATATATAAAAATCAACTCAGAATCACTTAAAGACTTAAAAGTAAGATGAGAAACTGTGAAACTCTAGAAGAAAACATAGGAGAAATGCTTCTGAACATTGGTCTGGGCAAAGATTTTATGGATAAGAACTCAGAAGTACAGGCAACAAAAGTAAAAATAGACAAATGGAATATTATCAAACTAAAAAGATTCTGAGCAACAAACAAAAAACAATCAAAAGAGTGAAAAGACAACCTGTAGAATGGGAGAAAATATTTGCCAACTATTCACTTGACAAGGGGTTAATATGCAGAATAAACAAGGAACTTAGACAACTCAACAGAAAAAAAAACCCAAATAGTCCAAGTAAAAAATAAGCAAGTGATCTGAACAGACATTTCTCAAAACAAGACAAGCAAAAGGCCAGCAAGTAAATGAAACAGTGCTCGACATCACTAATCATCAATGAAATGCAAATCAAAATCACAATGAGATACTATCTCATCCCAGTTAGAATGGTTATTATCAAAAAGACAAAAAATAACAAATGCTGGTGAAGATGCAGAGAAAGGGGAACTTTTACATACTGTTGGGAATGTAAATTAAGCCACTCATTATAGAAAACAGTATGGAGGTTCCTCAAAGAAATAAAAATACAACAACCTTATGATCTAGTAATCCCACTACTGGGTATATATCCAAAGGAAAGGAAATCAGTATATCAAAGAAATATCAGTATTCCCATGTTTATTACAGCATTATTCAAAATAGCAAAGTTATGGAATCAACCTGTGTCTATCAGCAGATGAATGGATAAAGAAAATATGGTTTATATGTACAATGGAATACTATTCAGCCATAAAAAAGAATGAAATCCCGTAATTTACAGCAGCATTGATGGAACCAGAGGCGATTATGTTAAATGAAATAAACCAGGCACAGAAAGACAAATATTGCATGTTCTCACTCATATATGGAATGTAAAAAGTTGATCTTATAGCAGGAGAGACTAGAATAGTGATTACTAGAGGCTGGGAAGGGTGGGGGAATAGGGAGAGGTTGGCTAACAAATACAAAATTATAGCTGAATAGAATGAATAAGTTCTGGTGTTCTATAGCCCTGTGGGGTGGCTATAATGAACAATAATTTATTGCATATTTTCAAATAGCTAGAAGAGGGGATTTTGAATGTTCCTAACACAAATGATAAATATTTGAGGTGATGAATATATTAAACCTCGATGTGATTATTACACATTTTATAAATGTATTAAAATATTATAGTGTACCACATAAATAAGTATGTATATTATGTGCCAGTTAAAAAAATACATAAAAACCTGTACAACATCAGAGCTTAGCCAAAGAGACTGAATCTGTGAGGATATGGAAGGCACTTTGAACACTTGTACAGTGTCTAGGCTATTATTGTTTATATTAATTAACATTGTACTAAGGCAAATGCTAGCAGAAATTATTATAATGGGCATGTTGTCTATTTGGTTTGCTATAATACACAGTCTTTCTTTTGTATTTCTAATAAACCCTATTCTCTTGTTTCTTAAAAGAAAAGTAATGCATGAAACACAAACTGAGCCAATGTAATACTACCTACCAGGCACCATTTTAGTCTCTGAAGATTTGCTAGTCTATGAGTTTTGCTTTGTAAACTTTTTAATTTTTTTTAAATTTTTGACTCTTTTGTAATAACACTTAGCTTAAAACACAAGCACATTGTACAGCTGTACAAAAATATTTTCTTTTTTAATATTCTAATTCTATTTATCTTTTCCTCTTTTTAAGCTTTATGTCAAAAAGTAAAACACAAACACACACACTAGCTTAGTCCTACACAAATTCTGGATCATCAGTATCACCGTCTTTCACCTCCACATCCTGTCCCACTGAAGGACTTGCCTGAGGATGTTTTACAGCTAACTTTTTTGTTGTTTTTTTTTAAGTAGAAGGGGTACATTCTAAAAACAATAAAAAGTTTAATATTGGAAACACATAAACCAGTTACATAATCATTTATTATCATTATCAAGTATTATGGACTATATGTAATTGTACGTTCTATACATTTATAGCACTGGCAGCACAATGGATTTGCTTACACCATCATCAACACAAATGTGAGTAATGTGTTGTGCTATGACATCATGACGTCACTAGGAATTTTTAGGATGTCACTAGGAATTTTTTTAGGACATTATTAGGAATTTTTCAGCTCCATTATAACTTTATGGGACCGCCATTATGTATTCAGTCCATCAGTGATCTAAATGTCATTAGCTGGCTCACAACTCTTATCTGCAAAACACCTTCACAGCAGTACTTATATTAGTGTTTGTTTCAACAACCGAGAGAAAGTGTGTGTACACTAGGGGCAGAGAAATTTGAGCCCCATCTCAAAATTCTACTATAGGGCCTGTATTTAGAATCAGGTTTCCAGTAGTGATCATTCAAGTTTTCAGACTTCTAGAGAGCAAATATGGCTCTTGATTGTAAATAAAAATAAAAATAAACAAAATATAAAGAAATCACTTTTTTTCCTGTTGAAGTAATTAAGGATTTTAAACTAAATTTAATAAATCTGAAAGCTGTTCCAACACTAATTCTGTAGCTGAGCAGGTAACAAAAGTAGCCCGGATGATATTAACTGAAATTCAAGATAGAAAATAAAAGACAACCTCTGGTTAAGTTAAATCTCTGATTAAGCTACAACACCTACTAGATTTTAAAATAGTTTATGTATTTAGTTAATATTCATAGCATGCTCTTCATTTCTCATTTGAAATGTTCCCTTTCAAATTGCACTATGATTGCTGAAATGAACCAGTGAGCAAGTTAGTACAGGTATATATTTTTCTGGAAATGCTTTGTAAAATTTAGCACTTTATTTTCATATCCTTTAAATAATTTCTTTGCATTTATAATGTAATGTTTTAAAAATATGAAACATATTTGTATGCACAATGCAGTATCCAATATGTAAATAATTATAATGTAAAAATACTGGAAGAAAATATATCAGTAAGCCTACAGTTTTTTAGAATAGTGAGAAAACTTCTACAAGTTTTTTAGAATAGTGAGAATACTGTAGTTCTCTAATCAAAAATTTTAAATGTATTTGTATTACCTTAGTAATTAAAAGATTTAGCATAACCCTGTTAAAATATTTTGTTTTCAAACAAGTTTCCTTTCCTCTGTCAAAATGATGCATTTGATATTACAGTTAAGTTACATTTATACTCAATACACCTTATCAGAAAGTTGCATTTGATTTTTAAGATATAAAACTCAGTGTTCCTTTCCTGCAATAATATATCTATTATTCGTTAAATTTAAGTGACTCATAGGAGGAGTTACTCATCATTTTTTTCCAAATTTCCAAACTTTGTCCAGATGGCTGTCAAATTTGAAGCATGAAATTCTTTAGAATTGATTAGAAAAAGAAAAGCTTTTAACCAGTCCACCAAATCATAGATATTTACTGACTCCCTCTATATGTTCAGGACTGTGTTAAGCACTTAGCAAGTGAGAAGGATTAAGATCCTTATACTCTATGATCTTAGATTATTATATCCAGCCCTAAATATTAAGATATTTTCTTGTTACTTAGCTTATTTTTGCCATTTTCAATCGATACTTGCTTACAAGTATTGATGTAAAAAATTTTCCCTGCCTTTGAGATTTGTGCCCTATTTGCTCATGATACATTGCCTATTTTATATATTGCTGGCATTTCCTAAGATTTTTAGCTGTAATTTTTATTTCATGCAATGTCTCTGCCAGAGGTTGATGTCAGGACCCTGCTAGCATCATGTAATGAATAAGCAATGTTTATTTTTTATATTCTGAATGAATGCATACATTTTGTAATTTTTCTTCTATAATTTTTGGTAGAATTTACTAATAAGCACATATATACCTGGTAATTTTTTGTGGGAAGGTTTCTGATAACAAATAGAAACTTTTTTGAAAATTATTAGGGCAACCGATATTTTTTATTTCATTTTGTATAAGTTTTGCTAATTAGCATTTTTCAAGAAATTTGTCCAATATTTCTAAGTTGTTAAATTTATTGGCATTTATAGTATTTTCTTGTTATAGTTTGGTATCTGTGATATATGTAGGAACACACTCATTCTTAATGTTAGGAATCTACTTTTCTTTTCCTTTTTTTGATCAATTGATTTTATTTTTTCAAACTTACATTAGGCTTTATTAATTTTCTCTATTTTTGATTTCCAGTCTTTATTGCTTCTTCTAGTTACTCAGTGTTTTTGTAATTAAAAATTTTAATTTTTTTACCTTCATTGAAGTATAACTGATAAATTAAATTGCATATATTTAAAGTTTACAATGTGATAATTTTATGTACCTATACATTGTGAAATGATGACCATGCATCCATCACTTCTCATAGTTATGTTTTGTTTCCTTTGGTGAAAACACTGAAGATCTACTCTTTTACCTTAACAAATTTCAAGTATAGAATATAATATTATTAACTACAGTCACCATGCTGTACGGTAGACCCTCAGAACTTACAACTGAAAGTTTGTACTTTCATGTTATAACTGAAAGTTTGTACCCTTTAACAACATCTCCCCAATTACCTAACCCCTCAGCCACTGACAACCTCATTCTACTCTCTGTTTCTATGAGTTTGATTTTTTTAAAAAAGAGTTTTCATATAAGTGGAATTATTACCTTAATGTAATAAAAGCCATCTGTGACAGACCCACAGCCAACATAATACCGAATGGGGAAAAGTTGAAAATTTTCCCTTGAGAACTGGAACAAGAGAAGAATGTCCACTCTCACACTTCTATTCAACATGGTGCTGGAAGTCCAAGCCAGAGCAGTCAGAAAAGAGAAGGAAATCAAGGGCATCCAAATCGGTAAAGAGGAAGTCAAACAGGTGCTGTTTACTGATGATATGATCACTTACCTAGAAAACCCTAAAGACACCCAGAAAGCTCCTAGAACTGATAAATGAATTTCAGCAAAGTTTCAAGATACAAAATTAACTTACACAAATCAGTAGCTCTGCTATACAACAACAGTGACCAGCTGAAAATAAAATCAAGAACTCAATCCCTTTTCCAATAGCTGCCAAAAAAAAAAAAATACTTAGGAATATACCTAACCAAGGAGGTGAAAGACCTCTACGAGGAAAACTACAAAACATTACCGAAAGAAATCACAGATGACACAAAGAAATGGAAACACGTCACATGCTCACAGATGGGTGGTATCCATATTGTGAAAATGACCATACTGCCAAAAGCAATCTACAAATTCATGCAATTCCTATCAAAATACCACCATCATTTTTCACAAAATTAGGAAAAACAATCCTAAAATTCATATGGAACCAAAAAAGAGACTCACAGCCAAAGCAAGACTAAGCAAAAAGAACAAATCCGGAGGCATCACATTATCTGACTTCAAACTATACTAAAAGGCCATAGTCACCAAAACAGCATGACACTGGTGTAAAAATAGGCACATACACCACTGGAACAGCACAGAGAACCCAGAAATAAGCCCAAATACAGCCAACTGGTCTTTGACAAAGCAAACAAAAACACTAAGTGGGGAAAGGACACCATATTCAATAAACGGTGTTGGGATAATTGGCAAGCCACATGTAGAAGAAAGAAACTGGGTTCTCATATCGCACTTTACAAAAAATTAACTCAAGATGAGTTAAAAACTTAAATCTAAGACCTGAAACCATAAAAATACTAGAAGATACATTGGGAAAATCCTTTTAGACATTGGCTTAGGCAAAGACTTTATAGCCAAGAACTCAAAAGCAAATTCAACAAAAACACAGATAAATAGACGAGACTTAATTAAACTAAAAAGCTTCTGCACAGCAAAAGAAATAATCAGCAGAATTAACAGACACCGCACAGAGTGCGAGAAAATCTTCACAATGTATACATCCAACAAAGGACTAATATGCAGAATCTACAAATAACTCAAACAAATCAGTGAGAAAAAAATTAACAATCCCATCAAAAAGTGGGCTAAGGACTTGAATAGACAATTCTCTAAAGAAGGTATACACATGGCCAAGAAGCATATGGAAAAAATGCTCAACATCACTAATTACCAGGGAAATGCAAATCAAAACGACAATGTGATACCACCTCAGTTCTGCAAGAATGATCATAATCAAAGCATCATAAAATAATAGATGACATGGATGTAATGAAATGAGAACACTTTTACAAAGTTGGTGGGAATGTAAACTAGTACAACCACTATGGAAAACAGTGTGGAGATTCCTTAAAGAACTAAAATTAGACCTACCATTTGATCCAGCATTCCCACTACTGGATATCTACCCAGAGGAAAAGAAGTCATTATATGAAAAGATTCATGCATAAGCATGTTTATAGTAGCACAGTTTGCAATTGCAAAAATATGGAACCAGCCCAAATGCCCATCAAGCAATGAGTAGATAATGAACATGTGGTATATAAATAGCATAAAATACTACCCAGCCATAAAAAGAAACGAAATAATGGCATTCACTTCAACCTGGCTGGAACTGGAGACTATTATTCTAAGTGAAGTAACCCAGGAATGGGGAAACAAACATCGTATGTTCTCACTCATAAGTGGGAGAAAAACTTTGAGGATGCAAAGGCATAAGAATGATAAAATGAACTTTGGGGACTGGGAGGAAAGGGTGGGAGTGGGGTGAGGGATAAAAGACTACACATTGGGTACAGTGTACACTGCTTGGGTGATGGATGCACCAAAATCTTGGAAATCACCACTAGAGAAATTCATGTAACCCAACACTACCTGGTCCTCAAAAACCTGTTGAAATAAAAATAAATTTTAAAAGCCCTATTTACATCAGAGGTTGTTAGATTTTGTGCCTAGAGTTGTTCAGCTCTGTGCAGTTTGTATTATGGTTTTCAGGTTTACCATGGGGATATATGTATTAATTGCACAGAAAACCTGTATATATAATTGTTTGTGCTCTATCAAGGGGAGCTCTAGCCTTCATAATTATTTTAATTGAATACTGCTGCTCCCTTTGTGCTACTTTACTTGTATTAATGAAGATTTGAGTAATTAGATTTAGAAGAACATAGCATGTTTGCTTGTCTGCATACAGAATTTCAGTGATGTTTTCTCAAATGAATTGAGAATAATACTGAAATGCTGAAATCTTGTGATATATAAGTGGAATGTCTATGGGCTTTTAGTAGATAAAGGAAGAATAAAATCCTGCACGCTTTTCTTTCTTTGCATTATATATATATATACACATATATATAATATGTATATATGATACATATACACATGGTGTATGTATTCTAATATTTAGAAAGAAATACAGACAATCCTGTATTCCTGATGATAGTCCAACTTATGATGGTTTAACTTATGATTTTTTTTTGCTTCTGGTGGGTTTATTGGGGTATTAAATACATTTTTGATTTATGATATTTTTAACTTGCAATGGGCTTATAGGGATGTAACCCAATCATAAGTCAAGGTGCATCTGCATATGTATATTTCTATATTTTAAAAAGCATATTATTCTTTGATATGCTCTGATGTAACACATATCCAATTATAATCTATGATCTCCTGGAAAATATTAGTTATATTTAAAACAATATTTTATTATACAAACAATATATTTCAGAGTTGGTTAGCTCTACTTCAAAAAAATGCAAAAATAAAAAAAATTGGGTATATGAAAACAATGGTTAATAAAGAGTGATTAAATCTCTAATTCCAGCTACTTATACACATAGCTAAATCATTCACTCATATATTAGTCAGTCATTTATCCATTTGGAGAATGATAGTAATAACTATATACACTTTCTGGATTTCTTTTTCTTTTCATGTGCTTGTTATTTTATATGTATATAAATGTATTCTTTGGTTCAAAACTTGTCAAATCTTGTTGGAAACATGCAGGACATGAAAAAAGCAGAGCAAAGTATAAAAGTATAAAATTTCCTATTCATTAATTCAATTTCATAAAGTATGCTGGAAGAGATAGAAAAGAGGGAGGAGTCATAGAGCCCATTGTTAGTGAGATTATGCTATTATAAAGGCAAAATCCTTAAATTGTTACAGACAAAATTCTACGCATTGTGAGCACATCACATTTTTACTTTAATCATTAAGATGATAACTAACAGAAAAACAGAGGATTGAAATGGATTTTAAAAACTAGGATGATAAAACTAATGAAAAAATGCTGAAATAAAATTTCTAAATTAGATACAAAAGTGAATTACACCCTGTAGTATGATAAAAGTTTTTTTTTTTTTTGGAGTGTTTTCTCTCCTGCAGTCAAGAACTGTGAAGTGTCTAATATATTACCCTACATTTACACTATCATATTAGCCTGTCGTATTATGCTGGCAGAAGATATAAGAGTCCTGGGTCAAAGAGAAAGGAGTTTATTACTATGGAACAATGGGCAATATAAGTATCAGCATATTTTCATCAATTCCCTTATGCCCCCAAGTTTTATAGGACCCAAAGAGATGCTAGACAAATAGTGGATTATGTTAAAGGAAAATACTGAACTTAGGAAACCCAAATCTTTTATAATGGGTGGTAAGAAGGCCTATCATTTTACCACAGAGGGAACAATTATCTTTATTATACTAGAGAGTAAGCATAAGCAAACCTATTCTTTCCTCTGGAGAGTGGTACAATCTTCCAAGGCTGTTCATGTTTTATTCTTGAAAAGATAATCCTGAAAAAGGAGGAGCAATACCTCACTCGCAATCTATGTAGAAAAGTAAAAGAGAAATAGAGGTTTATTCTTTTCTAAACTATCTTGGCTTCTGGCAAATTTTCCCCTGAGGATGCCACTCTGTTGGTGACTGTGATTAATCTGACAGAGGCTGGGAATTAGTGTATCTAATTGGTCTTACACAAGCATTTAGTTAAGGCTACTACCAATAGGATTCAAATCAGTGGCTGTTGACCTTCTGTGTTGAGCTTAACTGTGCTTCCCAGGGTCCAAGATTTAACCAACAGAAATAAAAGTCACAAACCATTACAGTCTATCTTAGAAGCCATGTGGCTTTCTTTTTAAGTTTCTGTATTGATGGCTCCATTTGACCTGGGACATTAATACAGTTACAAAAGCAATTGCACAGACCTCATATTGGTTTGCACCTATCTATCCATAACAACCCTGGCCAGTAAATTGAGCTGACCTGATGACTTCTAGGACTAAAGTGGTGTCATTGACCACTTCAGCTAAAGTAAGAAACAAATTTCATACCACCTTTTCTAATTGAATGACCACACTGTAGGGACAACTGCTTACAGAGCACAAAAATAAGAAGTCAATTATCCCTCCAGGTAGCTCCAATTATCCAGGTAGCTCCTCCAAGTAATCACGTGTAGTTTCATTTTAGAGAGGTAGTCATGGTCATCTAAGGACTACATTATAATCCACTGCTGGGGTTTCCTTTAACACTGGAAAATCTCTTATGACCACCACTAAGGTGCAAGTCGCAGTGTTTTGGGGAGGGAGGGAAGTTAATGTCTGGCTTCCATACAAGAAGTACAGTCCCAAGGGTGCATGTGGTACCACTGGAAATAAAGGTTTGCTAACAATTGTTGGGAACCTCCAAGTAGAACCTACATCAGTAGGGGCAGAATTTTATAGTGTCTTCAACATGACCTCCTGGCCAGCTGATAAACTGTCAGATTCTTAATTCAATTTGAATAATTGAGTCAAGTCCTGATTTTTGGAGGGATTTCCTGAGGGCACTCAGCCCAAACTGTCCTATTTATTCATGCCACCAACTGGGTGGCATTTGTCCAACCCATGTGTGGTTGAGTAGTGGCTCTGGGAATGAGAATAGGGAAGACATCTGGAGATACTGATAGGTTTTGCCTGAGAGGTTCAGGAGTTGGGGTCATCCTCTGGTGTTTTTGGCAGATTTCTTGGAAGGATTAAGGGAAATGGCTATCATAAAATAGAGTCAGTGGGGTTGAGGGTTGTAATTAGACAGACCCCATGAATCCATTAAATTCTAGACACTTACAATGGTTTAGGAGAGAAACATCATGTTTTTAGTAACGAGGGTGGCTACAAGAGGTTTTGATGAAAGATCATTAATACCTCACTTACTCCATAGATGTAAAATATTTTTTTTCTCATATGCCTGGGTTGTTTGTTTCCTTCACTATTACTAAACAAACAAACAAGCAAGTATGTCCCAATCCAATAGCTATAATTTTACTTCTTCTTCCAGTCATGTCCAGTTTGCAACCAGATATGGAGGGAATGTGTGTGAGAGGTAAAGGACACTTTTATAAAATTTATGGAGACCCACTATATCATTTATCTTATTTTGCCTGAGCCAATATAGGGAGACTCAGTCAGCACTGTATTCAATATAGTAGTCATTATTTTTATGATGTGGGATCATGTCAGTCCAACAAGAGAATGCAGGTGGCTGAACTAGAATTAAATTGAAATCCTCTGGGCCCCCTTAAAGTGTATGACAATAAGACCAGCTTCAGCTTGTAATTAGAGAGAAAAAAAAGTATCACACTCAAAAATAATCAAGACACAATCCTAAAATTTCAAAATAGGTCTATATAATTCTCCAATACTTTCATCCCATTCATTACCCAGAAAGTCTCTAAGAAGAGCTGATTCTTTTCTAGGGACAGCTGTAATTAGTGATTAAAGTGTCTTGTTAGGATGTGTGGACCAGGAGACATTGAGGGAGATAAAATCATGAATCTTTTAGAGTCAATTTTTGATAAGCCTGTATACACGCTCAACAACATCAGATGCCTATTGATGGCAAAATAAAAATTTTGTAATAAAATTTTTGTAATAAAAAATGTACCACTCTCAGTCCTAATCATCTGGAGAGCCAAACATATGACACAGATTAGTTTCAAAGGTCATAACTGTGTGGCCAGAGTTAAGTGATTAGTCGAGAAGGGCAAAACATAACAAGACCAAGTGTCAGTTTGCAATGAGGCATCACCAATAGCTACGAGAGAGAATCAAAGGTTTGTTAAATTCAATCTGCTAGCAGTAGATGGGAGTAACACCCCATGCAGCGTGACATCTCTCATTAGGAGACAAATGTGTTAAAGAGGAAGTTGCAAGGGAAATTAGAAAATACTTTAAGGTCAAAGAAAATGAAAACACAACATTCCAAACTTATTGGATGTAGAGACAGTAGTACTGATAGGGAAGTTTTTATCTGTTAATGCCTATATTAAAAAAGGAGAAAGATCTCAAATCAATAACCTAAACTCCTACCTTAAACTCCCTCCTTCCTTCTATTTGCTTTGTGGAGTTGGGGTAGATTTCTGTTGGGGCAGACCCTGTGGGGTCATTCACACCAGAGGATGACCCCAACTGCCAAAGCAAATAGAAGGAATAGAAGGAAGGGTATAACAAAGATGAGAGTGGAAATTGATGAAATAGAGACTGAAAAAAAAAAGATATTTAAAAACCCAAAAGTCAATTCTTTAAAACATCTACAAAATTGACAAAACTTTATTTAGGTTGATCAAATAAAGCAGACTCACATTACTAAAATCAGGAAAGAAAGAAGGTACATAATTATTGACCTTAGAGAAATAATGGTGGCAGTGCATGTACTAAAGCTGGAATGATACAGAGAAGGTTAGCATGGCCCATGCACAAGGATGACATGCAAATTCTTGACCGTTCCATATAGTTACATAGCGGTAAAGGGTTCAATTCCATAAGAAGACCTCACTATCCTAAATATATATGGACCTAACAAAGGAGCACCCAGATTCATAAAGCAAGTTCTTAAAGATCTTCAAAGAGACTTAGACTCCCACACAATAATAGTGGGAGACTTCAACACCCTGCTGACGGTATTAGATAGATGATCGAGTCAGAAAATTAACAAAAATGTTGAAGACCTGACTTCAACACTGGACTAAATGGACCTGATAGACATCTACAGAACTCACCACCCCAAAACAGCAGAATATACATTCTCCTCATTGCCACATGGCACATACTCTAAAACTGACTACACAATTGGACATAAAACAATCCTCAGCAAATGCAAAACAACAAAAATCACACCAACCACTTTCTAGGACCACAGCACAATAAAGATAGAATTTAAGACTAAGAAAATTGCTCAAAAGCATACAATTACATGGAAGTTAGACAACTACTCCTGAATGACATTTGGGTAAATAATGAAATTAAGGTGGAAATCAAGAAGTTCTTTGAAACTAATAACAACAAAAATACAACATACCAGAATCTCTGGGACACAGCTAAGGCAGTGTCAAGAGGGAAATTTATAGCACTAACTGTCCACATCAAACAGTAAGAAAGATCTCAAATTAACACCCTAACATCACAACTGAAAAAACTAGAGAAGCAAGGCAAACCAATCCCAAAATTAGCAGAACAAGATATAACCAAAATCAGAGCTGAACTGAAGGAGATTGAGGTGTGAAAATCTATTCAAAAGATCAATGAATCCAGGAGCTGAGTTTTTAAAATAATTAATAAGATAGACCACTATCTAGACTAATGAAGAATAAAAGAGATATCCAAATAAACACAATCAGAAATACAAAGGGGGAATTTTCACTGACCCCACAGAAATAAAAATAACAATTGGAAACTATGATGAACACCTTTATGCACAAAAACTAGAAAACCTAGAAGAAATGTATAAATTCCTGGACACATACGCCCTCCCGAGACTGAAGCAGGAACAAATTGAATACCTTAACAGATGAATAACATGCTCCAATATGAATCAGTAATAAATAGTCCACCAACCAGAAAAAAAAAAAAAAAGCCCAGGACCAGACAGCTTCAGGGCTGAATTTTACCAGATGTACTAAGAAAAGCTGGTACCATTCCTATGGAGAATATTCCGAAAAAATGAGGAGAGACTCCTTTTCAACTCATTCAATTTGGCCAGCATCACCCTGATACCAAAACCTTGCAGAGATACATCAAAAAAATGAAAGCTTCAGGCCAATATCCTTGATGAACATCAATACAAAAATCTTCAGCAAAATATGAGCAAACCAAATCTAGCAGCATATCAAAAAGCTAATCCACCACAATCATGTAGGCTTTTTCCCTGGGATGCAAGGTTGGCTTAACATATGCAAATCAATAAACATGATTCATCACATAAACAGAACTAAAGACAAAAACCACATGATTATCTCAATAGATGCAGACAAGGCTTTTGATAAAATTCAACATCCCTTCATGTTAAAAACTCAAAAAAACTAGGTATTCAAGGAACATATCTCAAAATAATAAGACCAAATATATGACAAACCAACAATCAACATCATACCGAATGGCCAAAAGCTGGAAGCATTCCCCCTTGAAAACAGGCACAAGACAAGGATGCCCTCTCTCACCACTCCCATGCAACATAGTATTGGAAGTCCTGGCCAGGGCAGTCAGGCTAGAAAAAGAAACAAAGAGCCTCCAAATAACAATAGAGAAAACCAAACAACCCTTGTTTGAAGATGAAGTGATCCTGTATCTAGAAAACCCCTTAGTCTTGGCCCAAATACTCCTTAAGCTGATAACTTCAGCAAAGTTTCAGAATACAGAATCAACATACAAAACTCACGACCATTCCTGTACACCAATAGCAGCAAAGTTGAGAGCTGAATTAAGAACAATTCCATTTACAATTCCTACAAAAAGAATAAAATACCTAGGAATACGGCTAAGTGGGGAGGTGAAAGATTTCTGTAATGAGAATTACAAAACACTGCTCAAAGAAATCAGAAATGACACAAACAAATGGATAAAAAATCCATGCTCATGAATAGGAAGAGTCAATATCATTAAAATGGCCATATGGCCTAAAGCAATTTATAGATTCAGTGTTATTCTTATCAAACTACCAATTACATGTTAACAGAACTAGAAAAAACTATTTAAAAATTCTTACGGAACCACAAAAGAGTCCAAGTAGCCAAGGCAATCCTAAGCAAAAAGAACAAAGCAGGAGGCATCATGCTATCATAGGGCTACAGTAATCAAAACAGCATGATACTGATACGAAAACAGACATTTAGACCAGTGGAACAGAATAGAGAGCTCATAAATATGGCTGCACACATACAACCATCTGATCTTTGATGAATCTGGCAAAAATAAGCAATGGGGAAAAAAATCCCTATTTAATAGATGATGCTGAGACAACTGGCTAGCCATACTGCAGAAGACTGAAACTGGGCTCCTTCTTTGCACCACAGACAAAAATCAACTTAAAAGTCTTTTCACCGTAGACAAAAAGTCCTTGCACCGTAGACAAAATGTCTTTGCACCATAGACAAAAATCAACTTAAGATGGATTAAGGACTTAAATGTAAAACCAAAAACTATAAAAACCCTGGAAAACAATCTACACAATACCATTCTGGACATAAGAAATTGCAAAATTTTCATGATGAAGACTCCCAAAAGCAATTGCAACAAAAGCAGAGATTGACAAATGGGATCTAGTGAAACTAAAGAGTTTCTGCACAGAAAAGGAAACTATCAACAGAGTACACAGACAATCTACAGAATGGGAGAAGATGTTTGCAAACTATGCATCTGACAAAGATCTAATATCCAGTATCTATAAGGAGTTTAAACAAATTTACAAGAAGAAAACAAGCCTATTAAAAAGTGGGTGAAGGACATGAACAGACAGTTTTCAAAAGAAGACATATATGCAGCAAACAAGCATATTAAAAAAAAGCTCAACATCACTGATCATTAAAGAAATGCAAATAAATATCACAATGAGATACTATCTCTAACCAGTCAGAATGGCTATTATTAAAATGTCAAAAAACAACTGATGCTGGCGAGGTTGCAGAGAAAAGGGAATGTTTATACACTGTTGGTGAGAGTGTAAACTAGTTCAACCAATGTGGAAAGAAGTGTGGCAATTCCTCAAAAAGCTGAAAAGAGATCTACCATTTGACCCAGCAATCCCATTACTGGGTATGCACCTGAAGGAGTATAAATTGTTCTAGTTTGTAGACATCCACACATATGTTCATTACAGCACTATTCACAATGCCAAAGACATGGAATCAACCCAATTACCTGTGAATGGAAGATTGGATAAAGGAAATATGGTACTTGTACACCATGGAAGTCTATGCAGCCAGAAGAAAGAATGAGGTTATGTCCTTTTCAGGAACATGAATGGAGCTAGGCCATTATCCTTGGCAAACTAATGCAGGAACAGAAAATGAAATATCATATCTTGTAACTTATAAGCGGGAACTAAATGATGATAACACATGGACACATAAAGGGGAACAACAGCCACTGAGGCCTACCTAACGTTAGAGGGTGAGAAGAGAGAGAGGAGCAGGAAAAATAACTATTGGGTATTAGTCTTAGTACTTGGGTGATGAAATAATCTGTACATAAACCCATGTGACATGAGTTTACCTATATAACAAACCTGCACATGTGCCCCTGACCCTAAAATAAGAGTTAAAAAACAAAAAAGAAAGAATAGATTACAAGGGAATTATATGAACAATTTTAGGCCAACGAATGAGATAACACAGATGAAATGGAAAATTGTAGTAAGATACAAACTACCAAAACTGAGTCAAGAAGAAATAGAAAATTTCAATAGACCTATAAGAAGTAAGGAGATTCAATTTATAACTAAAACTATTCTAACAAAGAAAAGCCAAGACTGAATGATCCCAGTCATAAATTCTACCAAATGTTTAAAAAGGAATTAGCATCAATATTTTACAAACTCTTCCAAATAATAGAAGAGGAGGAGGTAACACTTCCCAACTTATTCCAGGAGGCCCGTATTACCTTGTTACAAAACCTAGACAAAGACATGGGAGGGGGAGCAAAAAGTTACAGATCAAAATATTTTTATCAATAGCTATGCAACAACCCTTAAAAAATATTAGCACCAAATCCAGCAACATATAAAAAGGATTATAAACCATGACCAAGTGGAATTGATTTTAGGAATTCAAGGCTCATTTAACATATGCAAATCAATTAATATAATACACTATATTAGTAGAATAAAGGACAGAAAGCACATCATCTCAGTAGAGACAGATAAAGCATTTGACAACATCCAACATCCCTTACAAAAATGGATCAAATACCTAAATGTAAGAGGTAAAATTATAAAATTCTTAGCAGAAAACTTAGATGTAAATATTTATGGCCTTAGACTGAGAAAGACTCAGATATGACACTTAAAGTATGAGCAACATATGAAAAAATGGATACCTTTTTAATTTTATTAAAGTTAAAAACTTCTGTGCTTCAAAGTTTACTATCAAGGACGTGAAAAGGCAACTACATAATGGGGGAAAATATTTGCAAGATTCAAATGTCTCATAAGGATCTTGTATTCAGAATGTGTAAAGAACTCATGAAACTAAATAAGAAAAATAAAAATGAACCAATTAAAAATGGGCAACGGGTTTGAATAAACATTTCTTCAAAATGATTATAAAAATGTCCAACAAACACATGAAAAGTTGCCCAACATTACTATTCATTAGGTAAATGCAAATCAAAACCACAAAGAGATACCACTTCAAACTCACCAAGTAATGAAAAATAATAACAAACAAAAACCTGGAAAATAACAAATGTTGGTGAGGATGTAGAGAAATGTAAGAATAGTGTTCAGGTCAAATAATTTGCAACGATGTTTGAAGTTCACAAATACTAATAGTTCCTTTTTTAAAAAAACAAAAGTATTACATTTTAATATAATTAAATACATATATTTGCATTTTTATACTTTAAATACTTCTGAAAATAATGAAAATAAATTTGACTCACGAAGCCAGTATAGAAAATTTAAATGATTCAAATTAATTAATTATTCCATGAGAAAACAAATAAAATTTTATATAAAATGAAATGCCATGTTGGTAATGTTCTATACTTTGATAAAATCAGAAGGAAGACATTTAATTGTGTTTTTAAACCAAAATAATCAAACCCGTCTGATTTATTCAATGATTCACTTTGATTAGAAACATTACATAAACCTGGATCCAGATATAATCCTGCATTTATTTACCAAATATTTTAATGTGCTCCACAGTTATTTTATTCTATATTTTTGTTTATTAATTGTTAGCTTAATGTTCCTTTGCATTACTCTTCTTTCCTTTTGGTGATAGAGTTATTTGAATCAGATGTTTCTACAGTCCTAACAAAAGAGAGTTCTGTGGTCAATTAATCTCTCATAATGCACCTAAAACGCAGTCCACAGACGCTAAAGGCCACAATTACAAACAGGCCTTTGTAAATGACTTATTACTTTCCCCATATGAGGAGAAGGAAAAGTTTTTCTCACTTACAAAGGCACAGAGAATTGGCAGCATCAATGTGACAACTTCAGTCATGGGTCGAAAGCAAATACAAAAGAACACTGAACTGAAAACAGGAATGCAGAAACGTGAGGTAAGATTTGCTGCCCAGAATGTCAGCCAAAAGGAGAAATTGTAGTTATTTAGACCTGAACTTTTAAATTATACTCATTTTTACTTTTATTGGATGTGAGTGATGCAAACTATTCCATCGTGAATAATATAGTAATTAAAATCTGAAGGCACAGTTCAAGTGAAAATGTTTTATAACATTGATATCAGTTCTAGTTTTGAATATTAAGAAGCACAAACTTTTTATTAATAGAAACTTATTTTCTCCCCACCTAGCTAAAAAACGTTGGAAAAAAATCTTGTATATGTAAGTAGTGTTGGTTTAAAGGAGGACCAAATGCTTAGACACGCAGGGCAATTACTTGTCTCTGTCTAGCTAAGAAAACATTCTACAACTTTCTGAAAACTTGATTAGCTACTTTAGTTATTATTTCCAGAATGACTGTGCTTGAGTCTTTCATTCAGTCTGAGCATTCTGGATGCTATGTTGGTGTGTTGATTTCTGTGCCTGTGTGGTGACAGATGTGTTTTTTGCTACTTTCTTAAGCATGAAGTTTCTTTTCTGACTGAGCAGAAATATGGACACCAAAATATTTTCTATGTCACGTTGTTAAAAAACCTTCCTCTAGCTCCAAAGCATTCAAATGCTTTATGGCACATGCCACTGAAAGTTTCCACACATTGCAAAGTGAGGGTAGCTTTTATATTATTAAACTAAACTTACCAATATGGAAAATAAAACAGACAGTGGTGACCTATTGCATCCTAAGGAACTGGAGTTCAAAGTTAACAAAATTTATAGATTCCCTATGTAATCAATTATATTGCACAGCTTTTTAAGCAGTGCTAATTTCTACATTACAGCATTAAAGAAACAACTTTAAACATAATATGTTCACTGATACACTTGTTACTATGTTTGAAAGTATATAAGAACTATGGATCATGGGCTACATACCTTCTTTCTCAGCAATATAAACTTGGTTTACATACTGTCATAGTTCAGTTGCTGAAAGCCACTTAAAATGTAGGCATAGTGGCTTTAAGGATTACACAAACTTTTCAGTGTATTTCATATCATCTTGAACTAATTTAGTGAAATCTAATATTTAATGAGGAATCGTATATATTACCAAATTTGAGAACTACTATGTGGCCCAGCGAAATAAAAGCAAGCTCTTTACTGAAGTCACAGATACCTACTTCTACACCATGTGCTGTGTAACATAGAATTCTATTCATTGTGTTTTCCCTTTTATCATTTTCTCTTTCATCTCTCAAACTTAGATTTCCTTCTTTGCTATTAAATTTATTAAAATTACCTTTCACAATTTAAAATGTGCATTGTATACACAAACCTGAAGAATGGCAGTGACATATTTTACTTTGTTTATGATGCATTCTCAACAAGAACATTTCTCTTTAAGAAGCTGTACTTAAAATAGTATCAAAACATAAACTTTGATATAATAATAAAATTGGTCAAAGTGCATACTCCCAAGGATAAGAGTGTAATTAAAATTGCTTCTCTAGGCAGCTACTTAATAGTCCAATCTCCTTTGTGGTTCCGTATATAACAGATGCACAAATACATATTCAAAGACTGAGAATAAGATTTTGGTTAGAAAAGTATGATGTCTCAGAAATAGCTATATTGGGGGCAAAAATGGTCTGGGAAATTTAGATGATGGTAAGACTCATTCAATACAAGAGGAAAAGTCTATGTTAGATCAGATCAGATATTTCCTCTGCCAAAGTTCTGGATTTAGGTGAATTATATACTGTCTCTCATTGAATCCATACTTCAGTCCTGCATAGTGGTAGTATAGATCTATTTTATGAAAAATAAAACTGAGGCTCAGTGAGATGACATGACTTTTCTAAGATTATATTGCCAGTAAGTAGCAGAACTTGTATTCAAATCTTGGTCTTTGTCTTCAAGGACTGTGCTCTTGGTTACTATGCTATCTTATTTTTTGTTGGGTTCCAGGAAATCCCATTAACTGTAGCTCTGTGACTACAAAATCTGATTTTGGGATTTTCAGTAAAATTAGTTTGGCTACATTACTTGCTAGTTAGGTCAGAAATTGACCACCAACATGATCCATGGAAACCACTGGTGACCTGCATGCATAAGGAAGGCCTCTTGTAATCTCCCCGTTGGGAGATTTTTGGATATTTCATTTGTTTCAAAATGGGTTAGAGGTGAATTAAAAGCACCATAAATCTGGGAGCCATATTTGGAGAAGGCCTGGGTTTGACCTCGATGACTCCTACTTTCCATCTCCTGGACATCCTAACCCCCATTATGTCACAGGGCCTATGCACATGCTTTTCCAGCTTCCTTTAACAACCTCCTCCCATAGTTGGAGTGGCAAATGTTTTGTCATCCTTCAGGTCTCAGTCATATGTCATCTGTTTAAAGAAGTTTTTCCTCATAATCATATCCAAAGTTACTTGCTATCATATATTGTTTTGCAATTATCATATATTTTTAAACACATTGCAGTTGAGAATAATTGTTTTGAAGTATCTACTTATTAAATGAAACTTCCATGAGAATGTTATTTACATGGGAGAAAGAATTGCATATCTATATTTTTCAGTACTTTATGCTCATAGCTGTGACAGTACCATGTGCTCAAAAAGGATATTTTAATAAACAAATAAGTTATAGACAGGAAAAATGCTTTGAATTTCAATTTCTTCATTAATAATTTGGGATAATGGCCTCTCCTGTTTGGGGTGATGATTTGCCTCCATTTCCTACAAGGTGACTATGAATGTAATAAAGTACATCGTATGTAAGAGCACATTGTAAACTTTAGAATATTACTCAAATGTTGAATAAAGCTAAGTGAAGTTTATCCTACATATGGTTCCATCACCTGTTTGGGACTATTCTTGTTTTCTTGGTGTCTTCTCCTTCCAGCATGATATATCCCACTGCCTTCATGTGATTCCTGATTGAGCAAGGCCCCTCTGTAGTGCTGCCCTTGTCTTCTCAGATTGTGTACTAACCAGTGGGCACATTTTGAGTCGACTCTCTCATGAAAAACTCACTCGTCAGTTCATTTTCCCATTTCCACAAGGTATTGTAAAGTGACTGGTTAGTTGATTTAATATATCTTATGAAAATATATTGATAATAGTTTCATGGTTTACCTTTTTCTAGAATTACATTAATTTTAATATGGGTCTTCAGTAAGTGACTTTTGCGGACATTGCAGCTCCATTGACTTAAGCTAGTAACGTAATTTTGGGTAAGGCTGACACAGGATGATTCTCTTGAAAATGACTGAACCTGTGACTGTGTAAATTGTCATTTATTTTACCTACCTTTTCAAAATGAAAAAAAAAATGTGAACTTAGTTTTAGAAAGATACGAATAATTCTTTTTTTTTTTGAGACGGAGTCTCCCTCTGTGCCCCAGGCTGGAGTGCAGTGGCGCGATATCCGCTCACTGCAAACTCCGCCTCCCGGGTTCACACCATTCTCCTGCCTCAGACTCCCGAGTAGCTGAGGCCCCCGCCACCACGCCCGGCTAATTTTTTGTATTTTTAGTGGAGACGGGGTTTCACCGTGTTAGCCAGGATGGTCTCGATCTCCTGATCTCGTGATCCGCCCGCCTCGGCCTCCCAAAGTGCTGGGATTACAGGCGTGAGCCACCGCGCCCGGCTGAAGAATTCCTTCTTATCACAACAGATGCCTTTATGATTTAATCAATCAACCCATGGTTTGTGGTTTTCGTATGTTATGAATAAAACTGTCATAATATTTAAAAGGCTATATGTGACAAAGACTCATGTCTGTAGAAGGTAAGAGGCTTCCTGTAGTACAAATACAACTGCCTAGACCTCTGTGGAAAACCTTTTGCTCCTCTGGAATAAAACATTTTCTGAAATAACAATGCGATTTCCCTCCATGACAAATAGAAATGATATCTTTCTAGCTAAATAGTCTCTTTAATGTATAGCTGTTTGATCTTATATTACATTAAGCCCTAGATAATGACCTAGGAGAGGTGAGGGACAGGAGTTGCCATCTTAAGTGTTATGGAATATTTTTGAAACATACAGCAGGCTTACCCTGAAGTTTTTTCTCTCTAGGCTCTGGAAGAGCTGTTCTATGCTAGAACAGCAGAAAAATTCGACGCAAACTGAGCAGGAGCACAGAAGTAGAAAGCTCTTTGTTTGAAAGATGATATTAATGGTTCATTAATACCACTTCAGTGTTGGAAGAAGAGAACATTCTATTATCATTTCTATCATGCAGGTTCAATAATTGAAGATGAACAAAATCCAATAAAATTTTACTCTGAAATACCACTCTTTTCTTTGTGGTACTTAAACATTAATTTACAAAGTACATAATGGAAAATAATTGTAGCACCCTCAAGAATAATTTGATGAAAAGTTGCAGATAATGAGATAGATAGCTTTTCTCTCTTAAATTATTACTTCAAATTAGATCAGCAGTAACCTGCAGGCAATTCGGATCTTTGTGAAATGAGTCTTCCATCTAATATCCCTTCAGGGCTTTGGTTTTCTAGCAAAGTTAATGTTTCTTTTTATTTCCTTCAGAAAGAAAAAATGAGAATGAATAATGCTATTGGTTGAATTTTATGAATATCTTTATATTACTTTTTTAAAGTATTTGAGCCTTATTGTCAAGTATTCTTGGAGATTTGAATTTAAAGCAGACTATTTTAGGAGTACATCCTTAGAATTTCACCATTTCAAGCTCAGTTTTTTCAAGGGATTTGCTAGGCTGGCGTAGCTAAGGCCTGTTATGACCCCTTGTTCTTGTCTAATTGCTGTATATTTTATGTTTTCCTAAAACCACAGGGGTTTTGTCAGACTTTTGTTTGCTTTGGCTTATATATATGTAGCCTTGTCTCCTTCTATGCTTACCCAATGCTAGGACCCTATACGTAAATCCTTTTCCTACTTTTGGGATGTTTCATAATTCTGGTAATATTGACATAGATCAATTTTGTTGACCTTTTTTCTAGGTCCCTTCTGGGTAATCGGAATGTTTGGAAAATATTTATTAACATTACTGGCGACATCTGTATTTTTAACGTTAGCTTGATTTAGGAATTATAGACATTCAAGTTACGGCTGAACCTATGACCATGCAATCCAAACCCAAGAAACAAAAAATTATGTAATTAAGATTCAAAGAAATATGATGTAGTTCCTGATCTCAAGCAGTTTGTGAACTACTCAGAGGAAATGCAACAAATGCATGTGCACATACATAAGAAAAGAAAACATGAGTTGAATAACAACACAAAATTAAAAGATTATTAGAATTAATACAATATTGTTCCAGGTTAATTGCCAAATGAGGAATATAGGTATTAGACCCATAGATCAGGCATCTGACTATTTCTATGAATCAAGGCCAGGGTCTCTGAAAGTTAACAAGGTCTGCCCAAGTTCTCAGTAAGATTTACTAATGGATTGACTGAGATTGACTAATGTGTGAACTATGGGAAAGGCATACAACTTGGCCACTTTTATGCTCCTTTGTGGAGTAACATGATCTGCCCTAGGAAAAGGAGTGCTTTGGTGAGAGGATTCAAAATCCAGAATTAGTCATGATTAAATCACATTGTCGATTTTTTTTCTATATATGGTTTTTGAGTAATTTTAAAAGATCTGTCATTGTTGTCCTTGGTGATTACACATTCAGCAAATATTCTTTGAGTACCTATTATATATTGGTCAGCATGCCTAGTTTACAGGTATAATAGTGAACAAGATGGACATAATACTTGCTTTTATTAAGTATAAAGCCTGGGAAAAATTAGACATTAAGTGGTAACACTGAATCTAAATAATTTTTATAAATATGTAAAATTCCAATTCAGTAATTCAGCAAATATTTACTAAGCACCTGCTCTGAGTCTGTGGTTATGTTACCGGCTGCAGGGCCTATGTGACTTAGCTGGACCCCTACCCCGCTTTTGTTGCCCAAGGCAATGTCTACATGACATAGCTGAATTCCTATTACCGGCTGCAGGGCCTATGTGACTTAGCTGGACCCCTACCCCGCTTTTGTTGCCCAAGGCAATGTCTACATGACATAGCTGAATTCCTATTACCGGCTGCAGGGCCTATGTGACTTAGCTGGACCCCTACCCTGCTTTTGTTGCCCAAGGCAATGTCTACATGACACAGCTGAATTCCTACTCAGCCTTAACTTTGTTAGGAAACAGCATGTCTGTGATCAAAAGTTTATTCTTAGAACTAAACCAGTTGAAACTTGCGAAATCCATGTTGGCAGTTTGCTTGACCTCTGATGAATCTCTAGCTTCATTGTAATCCAATTTTCATGACAAATGACTCACCCCTGGATGCCTTGACAGTTGATAATCACCATGACAATGACCAGAAGAAATGAAAAAATGACAGAAAAGAGGCGACTCCTAGGAAATCTCCATTCCTTACCAAGAAAAGCATAAATATTCCCCTGCTTGCTTTTAATGCCCAGCCCCTTCACTGAAGATACCCTATATCTGTAACTCCCTGGTTCTCTCTCAGGAGGTGATAAGTTGATTTGAGAGCCACACTCCCACTTCTGCATTTTATGGCCATCAGATAAAGCCTGTACTGTCTAATGCTCACTTTCAGTTTCGTATACTTGCTTGTGACACTGAACAGGAAAAGGCCCATTTTGGGGGGTAACTGGGACCCCCTGGTAACAGTTAGAGTACATCAGAAATTTACCAAAAAAAAAAAAAAGACAAAGATCATTCTCTTCATGAAGCTTATATTTCTATTATGGGAAGGAAGTTAGAAAATTAAAAAAAGAAGTACTATCTGCTGGAAGCTGGGAATGCTATAGTGCAGCAGGTGTGTGTGTGTGGCACTAAAGTAGGGTGAAAGGAATGGACAATGAGCAGGAGTGGTGGACTGGTGGGGGTGGACCACTCTCTTAAATAGGGGCATGGTACAGCTTATTGAGAAAGTGACATTTGAGAAACAGGTGAGGAGTTAGCTATGTGGATATATAGCGGAAGAATAATCAAGCAGAGCGAACAAACGGTGCAGAAGCCATATGGTGGAAATTTGCTTAAGTATTTGAGAACAGCATTGTGGCTGGAGTAGAATAAACGAGGGGAAATTGGTTAGAGATAATGTCAAGAGAGGAGTAGTTCAGGCAGATGATGTAGATCCTAGTAGGCCATTGTGTGAAGAGGCATTGGAGAGTTTTGAGTAAAACAGAGACAAGATTTGAGTGTTGTAATCTGACATACATGGTGAAAGGACCAATCTGTCTGCTAAGCTCTGGCTTCACTTAGTGGGGTTGGGCTTATAAAAACAAGTTCTATTAGGAAACTATTGAAATCATTCATATAAGAAATGACAGTGGGTTGGAGCAGAGCAGTAATAGTGGAAACAATGGAAAACAATTAGACTCTGAATATATTTTAAATAGAAAACAAACAGGATTTTCTAACAGATTGGATATAGAGCATAAGAAAAAGAAGACTCAATTTTGTTTTGTCCTGAATAAATGGAAAGATGAAGTGACCATCAATAGTGATGGAAAAGGCTGTATGAGACACCTCAGGGGACAGAGGCATGGGCATCAGAGGCTCAGTTTGGATTTTTCTGAGTTTGAGATGTATTTAGACACCCAAGTAGAGATTCCAGTAGGCAGTTAAATAAAAAAATCTCTATTGTTGGGGAGCATTTTCGACTGGAGATTCACAATAGATGGCACTTAAACCCATGAGCCTGAAGGAGGCCACACAGAGAGTGAGCATAAAGAAGAGAAGAAAAGCAAAGACAGAGCTCTGGCCTACTCCAACCTCATAAAGTCAGGGAGAGGAGGATGAAACACCAAAGGAAATGGGTAAGGAACAATGTGTGAAGCAGCAGGAGAGCCAAGTGAGTGATAACTAATGACACCGTACTATAAAATGAACCTGCAGATAAGGTAGCCCTTTACATGGAACACATTTGGAAGTGTGAAAATTTCTGTAGTTCCTCTTTTTCATATGCCACCTCACGCCAGCCATGTTCATTTTTGCCTTCATTAATGGGTCCTCCTTGCAAAGGATCCACACAGAGAACCCCTGCTTCCTCTCCACCACAGAATAATGGCAGGAAGCAGACCTAGCTACATGGGGCTTCATTCTTTTCCATCAGCTTCCTAGAAGCCTGTGGATTAATGTTAGAATCTGCTACTCCTTCGACCATAGAGCACTAAACTTTGCAAAGGCTTTGATTAATTTGAATTTGATGGCCTTAGGGTGCTTTTATATTAAAGCTCTGAAAATGTTCAGAAATTTTGAAACAACCATGATCACATTTACAATTTATTTTTGACACTTTTAAGGTTTTTCAATTTGATTTTTTTTCCTCAGAAGACAGGGCAAACTTTGTAATGATGATTAACAAGAACTCTGTGACACTTACATGGACCTGGAAAAGGGCAGAACACGCCCCTTTCCCCAAAGCACAGAAACAATCAGAACAGGTGAAAGCTGAAGAGTTCATGGGTTTGTAACCAAGTGGACCTATTCTTCTTCATTTATTGAAAAGGGCAGGACAAACACATAGGCATGTGCATTGGAGTAAAGAATGAAGTGGAGTGTGGCCAAGATAGCCAGGTGTTTCTGCCCTGCAATGTTTTCCTGCTTTTCATTTTCCTTGCTCTCTTTGAAAGATCTTATTAAATACAATGATCTCATTCTTTCAAAGGGAGTGGGGCCTTTCCCATCCACTTTTTTCTAAGAGGAACCTGAGTTGTAAATGAAATAAAATCATGTGATCTTGCTGTCATAAATATTCATCTTGGGTAAGTGACTATTTTTAATAATCAAATTCTTTGTTATCCAGAGAAGTTGAGGGTGACTGTACTTTTCCTAACCCACCTGTAAAACTACCTAAGGAATATATATAAATATCTGTATATATCTCTCTCTATATATACTTACTCCTGACTGTAATCATTCTTATTTATTACTATTTAATTTATATGGAACTCTCATAAGCTATCTCATAAACTCACAAATCATCATTCAATAAATCTGACAAATATCAAGTCATGTACTACACACAACTGACAAATGATTAGTATCAAAATATATTTTTTAAATGTGCAGATCTATAAGGACTACAAAGGAAGCATAAGTATTTACTACCTTGCTTTTCTAGCTAAGTCAGGGATAATAGCTAGCTAGTGCTTTCCACACTCAGAAGCAATTGTGTCAATAATAATTTTCATCCCATTCTCTGGCCTCTGTTGTCAATTATAATTTAAATCAAGGCAGAACTAAAGATATTTGCAGTTATTTCCATAAGCATATCTTACATGCTTTTGGCTAGTACAGTTAGGTGGATTTCTGGAGAAATACTAGGTTTATAGCCGAAAAACCATGAGGCAAATCTTAGACATGTTACGTTTGATTTATTGTTGTAATATTCAGTTAGGAAGGTGAAGTCAGTAGTTAAGTAAATTGATCTGGAGCTTATAGAAGAAGCTTGGCTAGGTGAGAAAGATATATTTGAGGGTGATCTTTCTAAGGGTGGGAACTGAATCCATTAAATTAAATTAAATCATCTTAGAAAGAGTAATGAATGAGAAAAGAAAAGGACTAAGGACCTAATCATGAGAAGCTAAAACATTTAAAGATCAGGGAAAAAGAAAATGAACATGCTAGAGACTCAGAATAAGAGGTCAGGGTGCTGGGGGAAGAACTGGGTGTTTTATGTTTTTGAAGCCGAAAGGTATGCTTCTTAAAAATCCAGTAAGATTAAGACTACAGGCACTGAATCAATTCAACTTTTTATTGAGCACCTACTATGTGTCAATCACTTATCTAGGTGATAAGATAAAATGATGATCCCAAACTGACACTGTTTCTCTCAAGAAGCTTTTAACATAGTGGGGCAGTCAGCCCTATAAGCAAATTGTCATGCTAATAAATATGCCGTTATAAACTGAGGGACATGCTCTGAAATATATAAACATATAACACAAGAAGCTGCTTTAGACTGTAGGGACAGAGAAGAATTCCCTGCTGAATCAATTTTTGAGCTGAGGTTTAAGAATAAATAGAGGGCAAATAGGTGAAGGTGAAGGGTAAAGGAAGGAGCATTCCAGGTAGAAGAAACTGTACAGGTAAAGACCATTGTGCCAAGAAGCAATGTGAAGATATTTAAAGGGTTTAAAAGGCCAGAATGGCAGAAGGATAGAGAGCAAGGTGGAAAGTCAAGGACGGTTGGCCTTCAGAGATAGTTATGGGCCAGATGTGAGGGCTTCCTTGGCCATGTTAGAGGTTCTGGCCTTTATTTAAAGAGTAATGTGAGACCGTGTATGCTCTCTAAACCAGCAGCTGTCAGCAAAAGAACCTGAAAAATAGAGGCTAGTATTATAGGAGAGAAAACATACACACACACACACACACACACACAAACACACACACACACGAGTATGGTGAATAAAAATCAAAAGGAGGGAGTGTAGGAATGAAGACAGCAATCAACAATATCAAATGGAAATGCCCTGGAAGTCATCTGTGGATTTGGAGACATGAGATTATTGCCCTTCTTCACAGAGCCACATCAGTGGTGTCATCCAGGAGAACAGAGAAGGAAATGGGAGGGTGGGGGAAGTGTTACCAGTTATTGTCTAGGTTTTGAGTAAAGAAAACTGTTTCTAGTTACTGAATCTATATAGAGTAATAAAACCTATATATATATTAATATTACCCTCCCCCAAGTAATCTACTATCTGAAAAGCATTAGTGAGCAAATTGAAGTGTAAGAAAAATTCTACATGGATTGCTGAAATGCAAGATTTTCATCTCATATTGTATGGAAAACAACTTAGAAAATCCTCCTTGAACCTTTCACCTGTCCCTCTTCAGTCTGCTTCCTTCCAAGATCTTTCTTTTCTTTTCTTTTTTCCCTACACAAAACACTAAACCTGGCTACCTCTTGTACCCTTCAAATCAGCCCCAGCCTCCAGCCCCATAGCAATACTCTGCAAATGAGAAAGTTTTCCTGTCGATCCAGCCACCTTAGATGACATTTTTATGATCATCTTCTATTGCTGATTATGATTTTAGGCTTCTAATTTCAGAAAAAAGCAGAATAACCTCTAAATAAGGATTACATAAATTTAATTTTCCATTTCACTTCTAATAAACATACATTCAGTTTGTGTAATGTAGCTCTTTGTTAACAGCCAGAATCATTCCTCTTCTGTCTATTTGATTTGATACATTGCTCTGCTTCTCAGTTATAGAATCATTTCCAAAATAAGACAAAGTGCTCTATAAATCTGGGTTCCAATAAATTCCACAAACAACCCTAATCATCAAACAAAATTTATTTCCACAAACATTTATGGAACACTACTATGTGGAGGGATTGAGTCAGGAATGGGAATACAAAATGATTAAAAGCATGAACCCTGCCCTGGGGGAAGTTGTACATAATACAACAAGAGATAAATTATAGTTCAGAGTGGTAAATGCCACATTCATGTTTCAAAGCTTCTATGAGCCTTTTATCCTATGTTGGATTTGTGGAGGGGCTTAGTATGGCAAGGCTCTGATTTTGTAGAACTTGGTATTTTACTAAAAGATTACTACTATTCAATGAGTTTTTATGCTTGTGGAGGAAAAACATGGTTAATTACTCAGGATGCCTTGATTTTCCTAAATTAAGTTTGATGGGATTATAAACACACATACAGTGAATCCAAAACAACAATTTTTGATCAATAATGGGATCCTGGGTAAAAATAGAAGATTTTTACAGTGTTCAAGGTTATGTTTAACTGTCAATCATTTGTTAGGTATGAGGAAAGGGCAGTGAGGAAAACAGCTACCTACTCTTATAAAACATAGTCTAATGAGAGAGACAAATAGCAAAAAAAATCAAGTTTGAATAGTGATAAGGGTTATGAGGAACTAATAGAAAGATGTGATAAGGCATGCTGTAGATGAAGGCGGATGAGACAGTTCAGAGAGTCCTGGATGAATAAGTGACATGTTAACAGATGTGAGTGACAAGAAGGAACAAGCCACATGAAGATATAAGTGAAGCCCATTCCAAGAAGGGAGAACAGCAAATGTAAAGACTCCAAATCAGAAATAGTTTGATGCTCTGGAGAAACAAAGTGAAGGCCAGCCTATCCAAAGTGTAGGAAGTGAGGCAGGGAGTGGTATGAGTTGGGGATCAGAGAGGTAGGGAGAAAATAAGTCATACAGAGTTTCTTGGGCCTTGGTAAGAATTTGGGTTATGTGTAGGCCCAGTGGGAAACCATTAGAGGATTTTAAACAGGGCTGAGACAAGAAAGGTTTCATTTGTTATAAATGATTACACAGGCTGTTGTGAGGTAAATGGACTGTAGTGGTGCAAATGTAGAAACAGGAGCAGTGATAATGCTGGTGATGTTTTAAAACACTCTTTCTGGAGGGGAGAAAGATCACTGGTTTGATTACAGATTTCCGTGGTGTTAATATGTCAAATCATGGCCAATTTCAAACTACCAATGTGACATATATTGGCTTGGCAAACTCTTGAAAATTTAATAATTTGTTTTCATGAGTTGATATGGGCTGCTTACAGCACTCTACTGATAAGGGAGCTAGTGCAGTAGTCCAATGAGGAGGTTTATGGAGGGTGGTCATACTAAAAAATAGAGGGATGTGGACAGATACTAGATACATTTTGGAGGTAAAACCCACAGGAATCATTATTGGACTGAATTGGTGGGGGTTGATTGGAAGAAAAAGAAAACAATAAATTTGACCTGAGCAACTATGTATGAATGTTTTGAAGTAGGAGGTGGACTCGACTCCAGAAGTGGGGCTCAGACATGGGACCAAATTGAGGACTAGCTAAAACAGGGATGGAGCGGAAGCAGCTTTCCATAAGGCATGACCACCAGTGGGACATGTTAGCTTACCATCGCGTGGCAATACTTGGGAGGTACTGCCCCTTTCCATTGCAATGACGTGATGACCCCAAAGTTATTACCCTTTCCCTAGAAATTCCTGCATAAACCATCCCTTAATCTGTAGGCAATTAGAAGTAGGTATAGATATGACTGCAGAACTGCCCTGAGCTGCTACTCTCAGCACACTGCCTAGGTAACCCTGCTCTGCAGGAGCAGTCGCAAAGCTGTAACACTGCAGCTTCAATACAGCTGTTTTCTTCTACACTGCTATGGGCTAACCCTTGAATTCTTTCGTGAATGATGCCATGAACCCTTGAGGGCTAAGTGCCAGTTTGGGGCTCACATGTCCTGCATCAGTTCTATTCCTGAAATCCATCAGTTCTATTCCTACTGAGAGAGGGAGTAGGTTTTGGGAGAAGTTACTTCCAGGATGAAGTTTGACTTCAGTCACATAAGGACTGACGTATGAGACAAAATCAAGATGTCAAATAAGGTAATTAGAGCTAAGAATCTAGAGCCCACAGGAGAGGTCAGGGATAGAGATATAAATTTGAAAGTAAACAGCAGAAAATCTTTTAAAAATGAATCTTCACTCTTTTCAGAACAAATAAGGAAGCCAAGTTTTTACCTCCAATCAGTTTGTCACAGATGCAAATCTCAAAATGCAAACTTAGGTATGCAATATCATAACTCTCTTTATTTTCCTAATGCCATTGCATTTTTAACAATTAGCTGCCTTCCTGCAAGGTGGCAGAAGTGTAATCTCATTTAATTCAGAGACCCTGTTTTGCATGGAGTTGCAGCTCATTTTCTAGGGTCTTATATAACCAAGCTGTCATGGGTGAGAAGCATTCAGATTTTGGTGTTGTAATCCATGGTGGCATCCAATAATATTTCTTAATTTCTGTGCTTTTTAAAATTTTTTTGTCCACTTAGTTTATTGTTGCATTGTTCATCATTTTTGCTATTACAGTCTGTTAAATTTTCTGAGTTTCCCTCAGATTCTTAACTTGTGTACAGATGACTCTGCTGGTTCCTGCCACGCTTTGACCCAAAAATCTGTGGAACTGTCTCAAGTCCTTCGTCATTTGAGTGACATTCCAGGGGCACACGAGTCACTGTACTTTCCTGTAGGAACCTCTCGGACCCTTCCTAAATGTATTTTACCTAAACACACTATCCAGACATTTTTACTCTGGAGTGTTGAAGCCTCCCTTAAATCTACTCAGGAAGTGAGGGATAAGACTCTATTCTCCAAGTCCACAAACTTCCCAAGAATTTCTGTTGCTATCCACTCCTAGGGCTTGATGAGATCTCAGTTTCCAGGGATTTACACAATTTCTTCCCCATTAGTTGCAAGTTGGTACCTATGAGTCAGATCAGGCCTAAAGCCATGTTTTATCTGGCCCTCACAGTGCTGTTTCAAAAGTTGAATGAGTGACATTTACAAACGAGAAAACTTCAGGAGAATTCAAAGTTCTTGCTTCTTTTGCAGTCTTCAGCATTTTGGAACCAATAGATCTTTGTTTCCATGTGGCAGTAATTGCCTGGACATAAATGGTGTCTTGTCTTTTAATGGGTTGACACTGTCCAGTTATTCATAGTTGCTTCTGTGAAGGTTGATTATACAAATTGGGTCATTCTTGTCATACCCAGCTAAAATAGAGTAGAGATGCTGCGGTTGGGGAGGAGAAAGGGCTCAGGACACATAACATTGCTCCAAAAATGTAATTCTCTGCAAGCCAAGATGCTGAAACTTCTTGTTGTAATCTGAGACCAGTTACGTCTAATAGCTCTGAAACAACCTGCTGCGACTCTTTAGACTAATTATACCTACTGTCAATTACTCACCAATCAGAGCAGCTCCTCAAGATTTTACTAATACCAATGAACTTTCTTTTAAGACAACATGTAACATTTCTCTTTTTTATAGCCGCCCCCCACAACCTTCTCTTTGTCTTTCAGACGTATAGAAGACCACTGGGTCTGTGTGTAAACCCTGAATTGCAATTCTTGCTTTTCAAATAAAACGTTCATTGTAGAGATTTAGCTTTACGTTTTTATTTTGACTTTGACACTTCCATTTGTATTGGCCCCCGAGGCTGAGGATATGTGTCATTTGTCATCTGCTGTCACTTTTCTGCTGCTTTTCCCCACACATCTGGTCTGCTTCACTCATCTACCGTAACTGCTTGACCTGTGTAGGCATTTGTGTTTGTGATTGAATTTTACTCTTTTGTTTAGTGTTGACCAGCAGATTAACTGTTACTCATAAGGTATTTTTCATAGTATGTTAATATATGCTTTTTCATTTGTCCCATAAGTGCCAATTATTTACTTTCATTTTCTCTGCTTTCTGTTATGAAATCTATTTTCTGAGCCAATAATTATTGTTTAAACTAAAATACTGAATTGAAGGAAGGGTCGGGGGCAGGGGTGAAGGAGGAACTAAAGGGTAAAATGATGGCCTAAGATATCAGTAATGTTACAATGTGTTTATTCTTTTTTCAGTGATATCAGTTACACTATATATAATCAGTAAACAGCAATCACACCATTTATTTTAACAGTGAATTTCATAGAAGAAGTTCTTAATCAGCTATTAGAGAATTGCAAAGGCAAAGATTGGTCACAAAAATATCATAAAGTTAGCAGCTGCAGGAAGTAGTTAATTGCTCCCACGTCTAAGGGCCAGACGCTGTGGCTTATGCCTGTAATCCCAGCACTTTGGGAGGCTGAGGCGGGTGGATTACTTGAGGTCAGGAGTTTGAGACCAGCCTGGTCATCATGGTGAAACCCCATCTCCATTTAAAAATACAAAAATTAACCGGTCGTGGTGGTAGGTGCCTGTAATCTCAGCTACTCAGGAGGCTGAGGCAGGAGAATTGCTTGAACCCAGGAGGCAGAGGTTGCAATGAGCCGAAATCACACCACTGCACTCCAGCCTGGGTGATAGAGTGAAACCCTGTCAGAAAGAGAGAGAGAGAGAGAGAGAGAGAGAGAGAAAGGGGTTTGAATTATTTGGAATTATTAATATTTAGAAGCTTAGAAAGAAGTCCTCAAAAGAAAGAAAGAAGAAGCAAGCCAGCAAGCAAGCAATCAAGAAAGAAAGAAAGAAAGAAAGAGAGAAAGGGGTTGGAAATGTTTGGAATTATTAATATTTAGATTTAGAAGCTTAGAAGAAAATCCTTGAACCCAGACCTCTGAGGAGGAGGTGCTGTCTATGAGCTCAGAGGAGGGGGTACTATGGGGCTGGGATGAGACGTCTGAGGTGGGTGCCAGCTCTCTGGTGCTGGTATCTCTGATTGGGGAGTGGTAATTTTGGTTGCAAGTGTTGGAAAACTGCATACTAAATTCAGAAGTTGTCAATGGAACAAAGAGACACTTCCTAGTGAAAAAGAAGCCTTGCTGGAGTGACACCGACAATAGCAGAAAGTTCAAACAGAGAAAGGAAAAAGCAATGTCTCGTTCTTTCTCTAGCCTTCTAATGTTCTAAGCAACTCTTGCCAGAACCTAACATTAAGCCAACTGTCAAAAGAGAAATGTGCCTTGCAGATAGCCAGCAAGCAAAAGCAGGGTAGAGAAAGGTGGGCTTGAAGCTGAGAAATAATAACTTAATAACTAATAAATTAGCAAATCTTTTGTTCTCACAAACAGCAGCAGAAACAACAAAGCTATACGTGTCATCGCACGCTCCCCATCAACTGCTGAGCAAATAGTTCATTTCTTAGGCCCCTAAAGATCAGATACACTTAAATGAATTAGTTACAGTAAACATGAAACAGTTAAGCATATCCTTATTATATATTAAAGATGATAGAAATTTATTTTTCTTTCATGTAATAGTCTCAGATTGAAAATTTCAGTTTTCTGGGGTCAGGGGTTGCCTTGTTCCAAATGATCATCCAAAGATTCAGGTGCCTTTCTCCTTATTGGGCACCATTCTTCCCAGTTGCTTGCTTTCCTGATTAAAGGGGATAATGGGTTAATTTACATTCTAGCTCATGGGAAAGGGAAGTGGAAAGAAATTACAGGCAACAATTTTCTAATAAGAAGTGAAGAAGTTTTTCACATGCCACTTAACTCATATGCTATTGGAGAAAACTGGCACATGACAAGAACTAGCTGAAAGACAGGTTGAATATATAAACTGGGAAGCTATGTATTCATGAAGAAGGCAAAAAAGGATTTGATGGATAGCTTGCAGTTTGGTCACTAAATGTAGACAATAGGCAAGTTAAGAAATCATTTTTAAATTTTCTCCAAAAAGGTTTCATTCATACCTTTCCCTCTAAGGATCAGTGAGAACTTCGCTTACACTGAGATAAACTTCTAGTAGACCCTGAATAAAAGTACAGATGCCTTTATGTTTATAGAAGTGTCTTTGCTTAAAGGCAGCAAATGATGGCCCTTCATCCTAAATCTAAATCTTGTTATGACTTCTTCCTATGCACAATTATTTAATAGTTCTTGTAACTTCTAGCAAAAAGAGAAATAGATGCAAATAAGACATTTAGTTTTATGACTATCATGAATCAACTCTTGAGCCCTTTTCTGGCTGCCAAAAACACCCCAAACTTCTCTTAACTTTAGCATGACTAGCTGTAGGTTCTCTTTGCAGAGATGTCATTTCCTCATAAACAAAGCCCCAGTGAAAGGTTATTTTGCACCCTTATACTGTGAAACACGAAATGAGCTCCTTATCATATTTGTAGACCATTTATTCCACAGATTTCAGCTGTTCCCTAAAGATCACGAGGCTGTCTAGTTTTAATCAGTTAATATTGCAGACAGAGAGAGCAATCTCAAACTCACATCAACTTTGTAGGAGATAAGAATCACAGGCCAATAACACAGACATGCAAAACATATGACTTTTATAGAACCCTTTTTTTCTGTTCTGAGTTTCTATCTTCTTACCATTGTATCCTCAGGATGTAACCAATGCCTAATACAGCATAGGTGTTCTATAAATATTTGTTAAACCAATGAATGTTAAGATTAAAACTAATCTAAATAAGACAGCTACAAGTTTTCTATAATAATAATTGGCAAAATATAAAGAAGTAGGGGGGAAATTTAGAGCAATAAGTGTTATAGGAGAAATAAATGACCTCAATGAAACTTCCCTGTGTCTAATAGATCTTTATCTGAAAGCAATTCTGAACTTATTGACTTACTTTTTCTTTGGCCTGGAAGTACTAAATAATTACAGTGAACTTGATATTTTAAAAGATTCTCTCTGTCTTCCCCTAGGGCCCCATATAATTTTTCTGTTTTACATAAATAACAGTAATACCAACAAAGAAAAAACTGAAACACTCTAAAGATGTTTGCTGTGATAAAGACATTGTGTTTGCATTTATGAAAACACAGCCACAATTGACTTTATAATAACAGTATTTACATAACTAAACACAGCAGGGACGTCATTAAATGGCGTAAGAGGGAATCAGAGCTGAAAGTCTGCATTTGCCATTTCCCTAACCAGGAATTAGTGAACCTCCAGTTACAAGATGAAAAAGCATTATATGCCAACTCTAGCAAGTTTTCATGACTACAGAGACTGCCGGGTTTTCTTCTTTCCTCTAGTATTTAGAAAGGAAGAAGTGAAAAGGGGTAGAAGGAGAAAAAGTATAAAATTTGATACCTTACTTTATTTTTCTTTTGTTTCTTGAATGATTGGGAACTTTATTATTTGTGTTATTGTCTATAATTAAGACACAATAGACATGAATTTCAGAATATGTAGATATCAGTTTGTAAGAAATCTCTCTTTCCAATTTTTTCATAAATCAACTTTATTTATCTTTAGAAGCCCCATTTAACCAGGTACAGAAATGTAATCCCAGTCAATTCAGGGCTTTCTTGCCGAATCCCCAGGACGGTGTTTGTACTTGGGGAGCAGCCTTAGTAGCAGCAAGCCACTGAGTGCTGGCTGTGGAGCATCTCTTACTTACTGCATCTATGATGGAAGCATCCAATCAGAGTCCTTCATTGCCCCTGGTCCTCACTTATCATTCTGTGTAAGTTGCTGCTGGGTTGTCTCATTCCCACTGTCATGTCGTCTCCTTCCCCTCGAAGCTTACATGCTCATTTGGGAAATAAGAAACCTTAAATAGTAACACAAGTAATTGTGTTACTATTATCACCAAAATGGAGAATACAAGTGAGTGAATCAAGAATCTGCTGTCTTCAAGAGACTCATATGAGAAAAGATGATGTAGAAGGGTATGCTTTAAGATGTACAATGCCATAGAAATATGTGGCTTTACTGGTACTTTTTCTAATTTACAAACTATTAGTCTATTGGAAAAGGGAAGTCATAAAACTTACAACTATGGCAAGTACTATGGAAATAAGTACAAAGTGCTATGAAAAAACATAATAGCAAGGCTTAGATGAGTTTAGGGGAGAAGTAAATATTTTCTTGAGGAAATGACCATTGAACTGAGGTCTGAGGATGAGTAGTGATTAAAAAATTAATTATATGGAGTGGAGGCTAGTTGTGAAAAAACAAGCTATGAACAGAAAACAGAACATCTTCAAAGGCCTATGAATTAAGGCCAATTTGAGAAATTAAAGAAGTTCAGTGTGGCTTCAGCATAAGAATAAGGATAGAATGGTAGAGGTAGCATTTTTGACAGCGCTTGTAGGCCATGGCAAGGATTTTGGTTTTTTAACCTAACATTAGAAGAAGCAGAATTGTTTTAACCATCTGGTGTATGTGGGGCTATAACACATGATTAGATTTCTTTTGAAAAGATTGCTCTGAAATGTGCAGAACAGATTGGAGGAGGTAAAAACCGTGTTTGAAGAAACAGGGGTGGTGATAACATGAGCTAGGGTAGTGTTATAATAAAGAGTGGTAGCAGATACTGCTAAGGCCAATCTGATGACTTGGTGTATAAATTACATTTGGGGGTTGAAGGAGAATGTTAGGTCAGAAAGAACTCTCAGTTTACAGGCTTCTAGAACAGAATAGATGGAACTGCCTATCTTTTGATAGGGTCAAGTTTAAGGATTGATACTACATGTTTAGTTCCTATAATACTGGGTTTGAGTTGACTTTGAGATATCCAAGTACAAATGTTGCAAAGATCCTGAACTCAAGAGAAAAACTCTCTGATGCCTTGTGATTCACAATTATTAATTGATTGAGGTATGGTAAATAAAACTCGCTAAATGATTCAGTATAACTTTTGCCATGGAATTATACATGTTTCTATACTATATCTGTGCAGATCAAAATCAAGTGAAAAATGGAAATGCCATATAGGAGAGGAAAAATGCTTTTGGGGAAAAATTTGGAAAGATTTAACCTTAGTATTCTAATAAACTTAATAATCAGATTTTTTAAACGTCCTTCTGATATTCATGCAGACAATTTAGTTTTAACGGTGGGGGCATCTACCAGTAATTTATTGTGTGAAAAAATAAAATTCTATAGGTAAAATAAATAACCCATTTTGAAAAGCATCTGTAATTAAAAAATGGAAACATCTTCATGAAGATACTATCACAGGATTGCACAAACTTTATGTCAGATGGCAAACTCCTCAAGGAGAAGGTATCTGCTCTACTTTTTCTCTCTCTAATGCATAGAATGGCATCTAATACACATAGACAAAACATTTCTTGACAATTCCTGGAATGTATGCATGCAGCAGCACTGTACAGGAGTATATAAATTATGTTATGTTCACTAATAATTTTGTATAAAGTTTTTCTTTTGCTAGGCGAGCTTTTCCTCTCCAAAGAAGGATTTCTGAGGAGACAGAACTGGAACTTTCTGTCCTCCCAATACCTGTTGCCAGGCAACAGGCATCTGGCAGTTCTTCTGGTAATTTTCAGCAGCTAGCCCTTCAACCAAACAATGAACACTTCAGGGAAGCATCTAAACCCACATGCTATCTTGGGGGCCATGAAGTTTTACACCTAGAAGAAATATTTAACTTATATAATAAGATTTTCAAAGTCACACTTCAAACTTTCCTCAAAATGAAATGTCACTATTATTCAATCATGAGTTCATCAATAAAATATTAAAGAAAGAGAAAAATATTTTCATAGAATTAAAAATTAAGAAGTACATAATAAAATGTCCCTTTGGCTCATAATTTCAATTGTTGAAAAATTACAAATCATTATCATTTATTATTTTTTGTTAAAATCCGATTTTGTGGTCTATTCTCAGTTATTTATTTTATACAAAAGCAGTTTTATATGTAATAACATAGATATTTAAATATCATAAATAGTATTTACTAAAAATAGCAGACCCTGAACTTCTGTTTATTACTAAAATGGAGCAAGAGGGGTCATATTTGTCCTCCCAGTTGAAAGAGTTTAAAAACTAGACAAAACAAATGAAATGATAATTTTCTAGACACTGGATGTTAAACAATGATGGAAAATAATTACTGAGAGAGAGGAAACAAATGGTGTGAGCCCTGCAGTTACTTCCTGGAGTAAGTTTCTATAACAGAGCAGGGAGAAGAACTCAGACAAAGTCTATTGGTCTTTCTGAGTTGGGGAAATAGAGCTGAGAGTTAGGAAAAATTAAGGAGTTTAGTGTAGTGGAGAGAAGAAAGCTTTACCTCCAGAAAATCGCAGAAGGTCCCCCTTGAATATTCAGCTGAGGGCTGATCAAAGACGTCTTTGGATAAATTACCTGAAGCTGGGGAAAGAACCACTCAAAAGACTTAGAGGGAACAGTCCCTGGATCTTTCACAGGGCTGGGAATAGCATCTGTATCCACTAACCATGGTTGAGGAGGGGCAAAGGGTGGACTATAATTTATGGGTACTGGTTAATCAGAAGGATATTGTCCCAATGGTGAATCAAAATTACCTGTAAACTTATTGCTCCTCTGGTAATGCCTAAAAATCCTTAAATGAAGTCTAAATGGATGAAAATATTTAACAGTAGCTTCACCATTTCCAGAATAAGCCTACTTACAGTAATACAAAAATATTTAACGTACAACAAGATACATTACAGTGTCTGGCATCCAATCAAAAATTACAAAACTCACAAATAAACAAGAAAATTTTATTTATGATTAGGAGAAAAAATTATTAAATTAAAATCAGCACAGTATGATAGAGTTAGTAAAGAATAACATTAAAGCAGTTATTATAACTATTTTATATATTGAAGGATCTAGAGGAAAGATTAAAATGTTGAGTAGAGACAGGGAAAATATCTTAAAAATTAAAATCAAACTTCTAGATATAAAAACCATAATGCCTAAGATGAAAACTACAGTGTAAGTCATTAATGGCAGAACAGACATTGCAGAAAAAAATACGAACTTAAAGAGATAGAATGAACATCAGTGAAATCTGGGTCAATTTCAAGCAGATGAACATTCTTCTTAAAATGTGTCTGAATCAGAATTGGACACATTTTGGAGAGTAGTGTGAAGGACATGGAGACCAAAAGGAGAGGACACAGAGGAATATAAAAAAAATTAGAAGAAATAATGGCCATTTTACCCCCAAATTTGATGAAAACTATAAACTCACATGTTCAAGAAGTGGAAAACCAAACTAAAAAGCAGGCATAGAACATGAAGAAAACTACATCCAGGCACATCATAATCATATTGCTCAAAGTGAATAAAGTATAAATGGGGCAAATAGAAAACAGAAAGATGGTAGTCTTTAACCCTACCTTATCAGTAATCACATTAGAAGGAAGAGATTCACATATCGGATAAAATAGCAAGACCCAACTACATGCTGCTCACAAAACGTACATTTTAAGTGCAAAGACACAAATAGATTAGAAATAAAATGAAGGGAAAAGGTATACCATGCTGACACTAACCAAAAAGAATCTATAATGGTTGTGCTAAAATCAGACACAGTGGATTTCAAAGCAAAAATGTTAGCAGACATATAAAGCATAACTTTATAATGATAAAGGGATATATTCACCAAGAAAACATATTAATATTAAAAGTTTGTATGCCTAAAACCAGAGCATCATAGTACATGAAACAAAAATGGATAGAACTGTAAGGAAAATAGACAAATCCTAAAAATCCAACAGAATAAGCAGACAAAAATGTCAGTAAGGACACTGAAGACATGAACAGCATAGCAACCAAATTGTCTAGTTGACATTTAAAAACCCTTCACTTGACACAGCAGAATGTACATTCCTTTCAAGGGCATGAACATTTACCAGTATAGACCATGTCTGAACCATAAAACAAGCCTCAAAAATTTGAGTGGATTCACGCCATGCAGTGTCTGTTCTCTTATCACCATGAAATTAAAGTTAAAATTAACAGGAGAAAGATACATGAAAAAAATCCCCAAATATTTGAAAACTGAATAGTATACTTTTAAATAACCCATGGGCCAAATAATAAGTCAAAAGGTAAATTTAAAATTTAAAGGTACTTTAACTTTAAATTATGTTATGTTCAATAATTTTGTATAAAGTTATTCTTTACATGAGAAAAACAATAAAATACAAATACAAAGAAAAAATTGTGGGGTGCAGCTAAGAAGTACTTAGAAGATGAATAAATAAGCTGTAAACTATTCATAATTTGAAATATGACTCAGAAATAAGTAGGAATGGACTTTTGAAATGTATAACATACGGAAATATTAAAATAATTATGCTGAATAAAACAAGCCAGACAAAAATAAGTATATGTTCTATTATTCCATTCATATACATTTCTAAAAATCCAAATTATCTATAGTAACGTAAAGCAGATCATCATTGGTTTTCATGTGACAAGGGGTAAGGGGCAGGAATGGGTAGAAAGCAGAATTACATAGCAGAATGGGACACACTTGGGGAGGTAGTGTAAAAACACCTTTATTATTATTACCTTGATTAAGTTGATGGTTTCTTATATGCACATGTATGTCAAAATGTCAGTTTGTATATTTTGAATATTTGCAATTTATTGTATATCAAATATATATCTAACACACCTGTTAAAAATAAATAATGGCAATAACTGGTGACGGTAATGAAATAAAATAGCATGACCTATTTCTACATAAATCCTGAGAGAGGAGACACTGCACAAGACTTCCGGTTGTAAAAATCTCACCCTAGTAAACCTCCCTCTCCTGGTGGAGTGAAGAAATGTTCCTGAGGAAACAAGTTAGCAATTCAAATATAGGTTGGTTTGCCACTGATGCATTATACATTCTGTTCCTCAAAGCTTACAGAAAATCTTCCAGCTATCATGTAGTTTCTATTTTAACTGAGCTTAGCATTTTCCCATTTGTAATGCTGTACTTTAATATCTGAAGATGTGATTATCTTGTTAATTAAAACAATGAATACTGAAATAACTTTGATAGGATGAGTCTTTAAAATGCGTTTATACAAAACTCAGTAAGCTAAGTAAGTAGATATAGATATTTTGTCTCTAATTAGGTGGTGGCAGGTATCAACCATTGTGAAGCTTGTAAATGATTCCTGGATTTTAAGGGCCACTAGAGTAGTTTACTGACATCAGCTGCCAAGCTTATTTTGGTCAGTGCTCTATACCCAGAGCTTAGCACAGCATCTGTCACTAAGTGAAGGCTCAGCAAATGCTTTTTGAATAGCTGAATGCATCACAAGTGGGACTGCAGAGTTTGGAGTGGAAATATCGTTTGCATTGATAGGAAAAACAGCAGCAGCAGCAGCAGCAACAACAAAACACCTTCTATACCCATGGCACAAAAATTTACAAAAGATTAAGTAATTTAATTTGTTTTTCCAAGGATGGAAAGATGTCTCAGGGTCACATGTTGATGCTAGACCTCATACTTTATATGGTTAATAGGGTGGTCTGTCACTGATATTTTCTGGAGGAGTTTCTCTGAGTGAAATAGTTGATCCAAAGGTGGTAGCATCAGTGAGTTGTTAAGAATAGTCTCGATGATTTCCCCTCACATTCAAGTTGAACTCCAGTGACTTTATTATGTCCTACCTACAAGGCTGTATAAGTCGTGGCTGTGGATATCTACCAACCTCAATTCTCACCATCGGTTTCACTTTCCCTGCTGTTATTTATCACACCTGCCTTCTTATCACTCACAGAATGTGCTAAGTGCATTCCAGTCACGGGACTTCTGCAATTCTGGTTTTTTTTTTTTTTTTTTTTTTTTTTTTTTTTTTTTTGAGACGGAGTCTCGCTCTGCGCTCAGGCTGGAGTGCAGTGGCGCGATCCTGGCTCACTGCAAGCTCCGCCTTCGGGGTTCAGCCATTCTCCTGCCTCAGTAGTAGCTGGGACTACAGGTGCCCGCCACCGCGCCTGGCTAATTTTTTGTATTTTTAGTAGAGACAGAGTTTCACTGTGTTAGCCAGGATGGTCTCGATCTCCTGACCTCCTGATCCACCCGCCTTGGCCTCCTAAAGTGCTGGGATTACAGACGTGAGCCACCTCGCCCAGCCTGCAATTCTTAATTGCCTTAATTGGAATATTCTTTTTGGTATTTTATGGGATTCTTTGCTTTTATCCCAAATTGAATTTAAGATTTAAAATACATACATATATATATATACACACACACACGCACACGCCTAGATTGTTCAATTTAGCTTTCACTTTCTGTAACTTTAAAACTAAAATGGGAAAGCCACCATACCTTGGAATCTGTGACAACTTGAAATATACCTGGACTTTTTTTTTTTCAGCTATTTATGTTGACATAAATGCCAACCAACAGCCATTATCTGTTCTACCTGAGACATAAAAGATATTAAGACCAGGATAAAAGTTTTTTATGTGATAGTATGGTGTGGGCATAGTTGAGTTTCATTTTGTGGGTTCATTTTATGAACTAATTAGCATGTAACTTAAAATGTCACCCATGTACTTTAACATTCTCTTAATTTTGATTTCACCATTGCACATAAATAGTATCTTCTTGATTCCGTTGTTTCATCTTTTGGTTTTGATAAAAATCTTGTCTATATTTTGTGAAAATATAAATAAGCCTCTAGTTTGGTGGTAACATGTAGACTGAGATGTTCACAAGCTTTAAAATATATATTAAATATTAAAATATATAAATACTTATATTTATGTATAAATGTAGATATATTTAAATATTTATATATATTTCTCTTTATAATTATTCATCTTCCCCCATATCCTTCTTCTTGTCCTTTCTTTTTCTTTTTTCTTCCTCATCTTCATCTTCTTTTCCTTCTTCTTTTCCTCTTCCATAAAAATTTCTTAATATCTTTTACCCGCTATAGTTTAAATCTTGGTAGTTGTTTTTCAGCAAAATAGAAGGTTTCTCTACCCTCATTCCAAAAGACAAAAAATTTAAAAGTTGCATCTCTATTTGTAGATATGAACTTCATTCTGTCCTGTGAAAGAAAACCACAACTATACTTCATTCAGTAATGGGAATGGCCACTGGAAAAACTAAAACTAAAAATACTAAAAACTAAAACTAAAAAAACTAAAGCTGGTAAAATACCTTTAATCCAATAAAAGCTAGAGTATATCATGGCTGTTCTCATTCAAAGAAACAGTATTTACTAGAGGCTCTGAAAGAAGCAAATTAAAAAGTCTGTATTATTACAGGCAGAAAGTATTGTAAAAATCTTATCTATAATTTATTTCCACAAACTCTTCATAGCAGCTACTCCCTTATCTTTCTCCACATTTTTCTCTTTAAAATGTCTTAGAAATTCTCCTTCATTCTACCTTATGCCTCTTAAATCATTGAATTCAATGGGGGAAGAAGAGTTTTACCTTCCTTGGTTAGAGCTTTACTTTCCACAACCACTCAATAAAAGCCCAGGTCCTGTGGCTGCCAGAGTAATGAGGGCCTCTTCCTCCTTTGAAAACATATCTTAATGTGTTTGTCCCCATCTCTGTCTTATGTGTCTTTAATGCTGCTCTACATTCCATCTCTGCTCCATTATCTGCAATCTTGGCCCTCTTTTCCGTATAAATTTTCAATTGTAAAAGATTCACTCACATTTAGAATAGAATAAGCCAGACATTTATATACATTACAAAATGATCTTAAGGCCAGGACAATGAAGAGCGGAAATGAAGAAATCGCTGATGATTGGCATAAAGGGAACTGAGAAGGGTGTTTATATGGTTCAGCTGTGTCCCCACCCAAATCTCATCTTGAATTGTAGCTCCCATAATTCTCACATGTTGTGGGAGGGACCCAGTGGGAGATAATTGAATCATGGGGGTGGGTTACCTCATACTGTTCCCATGGTAGTGAATATGTCTCATGAGATCTGATGGTTTTATAAGGGGTTTTCCCTTTCACTTGGCTCTCATTCTCCTTTGTCTGCCACCATGTAAGACATGCCTTTTGCCTTCAGCCATGATTGTGAGGCCTCCCCAGCCATGTGGCACTGTGATTCCATTAAACCTCTTTTTCTTAATAAATTACCCAGTCTCGGGTATGTCTTTATAGCAGCATGAAAACTGACTAATGTAGGTCTGTTTATGGTGGCACTCATACCACGGGACATGAAAGAAAGCTTTCCAACAGCCTGCTCTACCTGCTCTTAGGAACAGCTTAGCAATCTCCTGAATAAATAGTTGCCTTCAAATCTTTAGTAACAAAGTTCTCACAGGGGTAGATATGGAAAGTGAAAAAGTGAAAAGGGTACACCTCCAGCAGTTGCATTATTGTGAAATTATTAATATAGTACAAAAGTCCATCACTTAAAATGTCAGTTTCAAGCAAAAGCAGTGACATGGAGATAGTTTGGGAATTAGCTGACATCACAGATCTTCAGTTGTTTTCAAGTTTCTAAAGATGGTTTGCATAGCAAATTGGTATAAAATCTACATATTTGCTTTGACTCATTTCCTCTGTCTTATATTTCATTAGTACATATTTGAACTTTTAAAGGTTGTTCTGACCTGCACTATAAGATTAAGAATTGACAGTGTTTGGGAAGTGGATTCTATGTCACACAAGATAAAACACCCTAAGATTGCCATTACAAATAAGTGATGTTTGTATTAGCATAAAAACAGTGAACTACCAAATTTATTTGTATTTCTTCTTAGGATAACATTTAAATAATTTCTTATAAACAAAATAATTGGATTAATATGGAAAGAAAATAAAGTAAAAGGTTCTGAAAGCTCATGCTGCTTCAACTTCTTTGGTCGTTTTTACCAGTCATGGGAAAACCAGAAGCTAAAGTCATTATTTGGGTAGCTAAGTAAAGGCTTATAGCATTGAAAAGTGAAAGAAAAACAGGTGAAGGGAGACAGTTTCTCTCAGTTACGTCAGCAAGACTAGTTAGTAAGGAACATCATTCATATACAAGGCAAGAATTAGAGCTATGGCTAATAAAATACAAAGCACTTGCACATCTTTTGGGAGAGAGCTATTTTATTTTTTATTATACTTTAAGTTCTGGGGTACATGTGCAGAACGTGCAGTTTCGTTACATAGGAATACACGTCCCATGGTGGTTTGCTGCACCCATCAACCCATTACCTACACTAGGTATTTCTCCTAATGCTATCCCTCCTCTAGCCCCCACAACCCCCAACAGACCCCGGTATGTGATGGTCCCCTCCCTATGTCCATGTGTTCTCATTGTTTAAAAGCAAGAATCCCATCTTTAGCATTTTAATTAAGCACAAAATGGTTATGGTTAAACACACACATTTAAAATGTCCATTTTCCACAAGTGGTCTTAATGATGGAGGTGCTCTTTACAATGGGTATGCCTGTCAGGTTAAAAAAAGTTTCTGTTATAAAATAATAAGAAGGGTAGAAAGGAAAATCCTGGGCATCATTTAAACAATTTTTGTGACTTTTTTTAGGAGAAAGAACTGAGGCCCAAAAAACAGTAGTTCACACATTCATTTAATGTCAAAGGCCGCACTCGAATCCAAGGCTGAATTTCAAGCCAACGATTTTTAGCTTTTCCCACTTTGACTACAGAACCAGAATAATTCAGCAAGCTCAAGGTAACGAGCAGTGGGAAGCCCTGGAGAGAGCTGTTTTGATTAGAAATACTGATTGCTGCTCCTGGTCGAACTGTGAAGTACTCTACATGCATTTCACATAGGCACAAGCTAATCAGCACAAATTGCAAATGCCACAATCTCAGGTGATAGAGACATAGCTGTACCTTGGAGAGGAGGGGAGTGATATGAGAATTATCTTTCTACTGAAAATCAGCCACATGGGCTTTTTGCTGGTTTTGTGAAATAGCGCAGAGGAAAATTTTCCACTTAAACCATAGTTGCATGAGTAAAAGTGGAAGAAGAGTTGTTTCATAAAGAAGAGACACTGGAATTTTGTGGTCTTCAAGACAATGGTCAAATGGAGTCTGTTCAGAATCAGAGCTGGTGTGAGATGGATTCTTAGCAGACAATGAATGTACCAATTCACTACTGCATTAAGCACATCCCAGAAATCATTTCCATTCACAGAATCCTGTAAAAAGTGCTCTACCACCTGCCCTGAGCCAGACTTGGAACCCCCAGCTAGTTCCAATAATGGTGTGTCAGACCCTAAGGACTGAAGATATTGTTAGGGACAACATTTCTTATGTGTCACTGGATTCCCTATCTTCAGTCTTTCCCCATATCCCAATTCAAATTATTCTCCTCATTGCTCCAGATTGGACCTGCTAATGGAAAAAAATGTTTATATCCTTTAGCTATTTACAAATACTTTAATAATGCCTTGTCAATCACAGGATAACATCAAGACCCTCAGTAATTGTCTGATAACTTTCCCAAATCTTACTTTTCTGCCGTATTTCCTATATGCAACACTTGTTTTGTCTTGCCTCCAGGCCTTTGCAAATGCCGTCCCCATTTTTTAAACTGTATCTTTATCTCCTTTAAGCTCTACAAAAATCTATCCCATCTTAAAATATTGACTCAAGTATTTTTTTCTATGTGCAACTTTCTCATTCTCCATTAGACTGGCTTGTTTTTTTGATTAAGCTCTATAGGTGCAATGCCAAAGGTACACAGACTTGCAAAGGGTCATCGAAAGTTTAGTGGAACATGGTTACATTTTTAACATGTTTGATATGATTTGAATTGGGGCTTCCAACAAAAGAGAGTACTTAGAGCCTACTGAAGTTTTGCTAAAGTCAGTGCTAGGTGGAGCCCTTCCTCATATTCCCACAACGATTTAGAAATACCTTTATTAGAGCTCTTGTTATATCTTCTTGTTGTTTTAAACATTTGCACAGCTATCTCCGAACTGCCCTGTTACATTTTTATAGAGAGATTATATTCCTAGTCCCTGGCTCGTTATATGTAATATTTTGGCTGATATTTGTATGCTATGTTGAATTTTAAGAACATTACATTTGCCCTCTGAGCACCGAAGTGCTCCACAGGATAGTCACAAAAGGAAACCTGGACCTGCCAAGAGCAATGAGTAGCAAACAGACCTTCAGTCCTCCAGCCTCTCAACAGCAGTGCGCGGGTGGCAGTAGCAGGTGGCAGGTAGGGAGAGGTTCAAGAAGCACCCATCTTCCTTTGCTTTTTGAGAGGGAAACTTCTCAGGAGATCAGGCCAATGGGTCTGCTGTTGTGTCAGTGGGAGAAGTGTTAAGTCTTATACAGGTGTTTTTGATGTTCAGTAAAGGTAGATCCTTATGCTCAATACCAAATGTCCACACTTCCAACAGAATGGGAGAAAATTTTTGCAATCTATCCATCTGAAAAAGAGCTAATATCCAGAATCTACAAAGAACTTAAATTCAAAAGAAAAAAAACAAACAACCCCATCAAAAAATGGACGAAGGATATGAACAGACACTTCTCAAAAGAAGACATTGATGCAGCCCACAAACACATGAAAACAGGCTTATCATCACTGGTCATTAGAGAAATGGAAATCAAAACCACAATGAGATACCATCTCACACCAGTTAGAATGGTGATCATTAAAAAGTCAGGAAACAAAACATGCTGGAGAGGATGTGGAGAAATAGGAACGTTTTTACACTGTTGGTGGGAGTGTAAATTAGTTCAACCATTGTGGAAGACAGCATGGCAATTCCTCAAGGACCTAGAACCAGAAATACCATTTGACCCAACAATCCCATTACTGGGTATATACCCAAAGGTTTATAAATCATTCTACTATAAAGACACATGCACATGTGTGTTGATTGTAGCACTGCTCACAATAGCTAAGACTTGGACCCAACCCAAATGCCCATCAATGATAGACTGGATAAAGAAAAGGTGGCACATATACACCATGGAATACCATGCAGACATAAAAAGAATGAGTTCATGTCCTTTGGAGGGACCTGGATGAAGCTGGAAACCATCATTCTCAGCAAACTAACACAAGAACAGAAAACCAAACACCACATGTTCTCATTCATAAATGGGAGTTGAACAATGAGGACACATGGGCACAGGGAGGGGACCATCACACACCAGGGCCTGCCAGGGGGTGGGTGGCTAGGGGAGAGATAGCATTAGGAGAAATACCTAATGTAGATGACGGGTTGATAGGTGCAGTGAACTGCTATGGCACGTGTATATCTATGTAAAAAACCTGCACATTCTGCTCATGTATCCCAGAACTTAAAGTATAATAAAAAAGAAAAAGAAAAATGACCGCCTTTTATGTAAACATTTACACTATGCATTTTACAAAGGGGTAAAATTCGTATGTGATATTACACATCTGAAACATTGGCCTGTTGGTGGAATACTGTCCTTTTGTGAAATGTTCACCTCAAGTTAGTAAAAGGTCATTCAACTCTCCTGTGACTTCTAATGCTATTATTAAATATGTATGCAGCCCTATAAAATTTCTAAGCAAAGCATGTTAGTAGGAATGAGACTTGTACATTATTCCCAGAATAATCTCTTCATCATTTCTGGACAGAATTTCACCACTAAGTGCACTGCCTCCTATGTAAGTTGGTGAGAATGGTTTGACATTTATAATACTTTTATTTTTTAAGAGATTTTTTTACAGCTTGTCAGCTAAGATAAAAATATGACAAGCCATGACCTTTCTTTGATGCATAAACAGTGCTGCTAGGTGAGTACATGAATTGGGAAAATTCTTGTAGTAAGCTTCCTTTCTACTTCCTTTTCTGTTTATTTTATTTTTGTACACTTGTTTTCAAATGACATTTGCAATGAGAAAAAGAGAAAAAATATACAAACTGCGATAGCTTTAAATAAAATGTGAAATTATTTGATGATACATTTAACCTTAATTTTGTTTCTTTTTATAGTTCCACAAATTTATTTTTCTTAATACACTGTTTTTGGCAATAATAAAAATTGTATGCATTACTTACCTTGCTTTAACTTTCTCACAAAAGTATACATTCAAATCAGTAAAATGAAATAGTAAGATTTTTTAGGCTTTGCAAATTATCAAATTCCAGTTATACTTTTTTAGAATTAAGAATATTGTTCCTTGGGAACTTTTCCACTAAATATAAAATCTTACATAAAATGTACACTTAGGTACTTGTGTATCCAAATATGTCCTCATGCTCAGAAGGCCCCTACAGTTTACAGAAAGATTTTGTTCCGTAAGTTTGTAACTTAGTTGGTAATTTGTTCATTAGCGCAATATTAAGCCAAATGATTGGTTCCAAGAAAACACACAATCCCAATTAACCTGTAATTTATTTTACAAAACAATATATAATGCATTTAACTTTATCATCATGAAGAACACAGGAATTCTCTTTCCTTCTTGGCTGCTGTTATGACACTGTCTTCCCCACATTTCCACAGTTCTACACTGCTACTTAGCTACAAATAAAAGACTCGTGTGAGTTCCATACCTACATTCTTATTTTTTTATGGATATTTTTAGTTGTTTCCTAGACAATCTAAACACATATTCAAAATGAAATCTTTCCCAACCCACCCCCACATTGGGTCACCTTCTATCAAGTTCCCAGAGCCAAAACCTAGTCACTTCTCTCTCACACTTCCTGCACACAATCAGTCACGTGGTTCTATGTACTCTCCCTTGTTAAAAATCTCTCAAGGCCATCTGCTTTTTTATATCTGCACTTCTACTGGTTAAATTCAGGTCATATTGTGACAATTTTAATATCCTTATGATCGCCCAGCCTTTAGAGCACCCTCTCTGTAATCTTTCTCTCACACCATTAACAGAAATCATTGTGCTTAAAGTTATGAGAATAGTTTGAAAGGACAAAATAGGGCCTTTGTAGGTTTAATAATTTTTCTCTATGTAGAACAATGATTTTACTTGATTTGCAGTTCAACAACCACTTTGAAACCTCTAGAATACTCCAAATATGAGTTTCCAAAAGATAAGACAGAAGTTATTCCAGACTTTATTTCTTCACCAAAAAATGTGTACAATGAACAAAATCACTCACATTTCATTTAGAAATAATTACTCGCCGTGATGGTTCTAAATGGAAATCACAGTTGTATTTTGGCACCAAGCTGCTAACACATTTCTATTGTACAACATGATGCCTATACTTAATAACAATGTATTGTATACTCAAAAATTGCTAAAAGACTAGATTTTAGGTATTCTCACCACAAAAAAATAAGCACGTGAGACAATACATATGCTAAATAGGTTGATCTAGTCATTCCACCATGTCTACATATTTTAAAACATCATGTACATTATAAATAGATATCGTTTTACTTGTCAATTTAAATAAATAAAATATAAAATATAGCAATAATTGTTTCAAGAAAAACAACAAATGGATGCTCAAGTTTGATGAAAAACAGGATCTTACACAGTATCCAAATATTTCCCATATGATGCTTACTACTTACAAAGGTTAATACAATGACTACAGTAAAGTTACTACCTTAACCAAGTGATCACAGTTAACATCACCAGTAATAGGACGAATAATGTCAGTTGTTATCTGATACCATGCACTAAGAAGAAGACAGTATCACTTTTGTGGTATCCCTGAAAAAATTATGCATAACATAAGTCTGAAAATGTATAAACATCCGAAAGACACATCCTATAAAACAACTGGCCTATACTCTTAAAATATGCCAAGTTCATGAACTAAGAGGGACTGAGGAATATTCTAAATGAAAAGAGACTAAAAAGACATAGCAATGAAATGCAATATGCAATCCTTGATAAACAAAAACAAAACAAAACAGTAAGAATTGTACAATAATGGTATGTGAAACATTGGTTAGGCAATTGGCAAAAATGCAAAAAGGTCTGAAGATTAGACATCATATTAAGGTTAATTGCATTATTTAAACTATTGTACTGTGGTTTGTAAGAGAAAATCTTTGGTTTTAGGAAATGCGCCCTGATGTGTTCAAAAGAAAATGAATGTAATGTCTAAATGTTTTTTATTTCGCCACTTTTTAAGCTATCTTAAATGCAATGTTGAAGCCAAAGTAAGCATTTATGTGCCACTTCTAAAAGGCTGTGTGGGCCATTTACTATTTTTTATTATACTTTCCTAAAAGCATCTCTAAATTTCTAAAAATTGATTACTGAAACTAATTTTATACCTGAATGACAATATCCACATTGACAACTAGATTGTTTGTGAATATTAGACTAAATGGTAAAAAACCCCACATCTTGTGTTACATGACCCAGCATATATTTTTGATATTTCAAAATATAATTGAAGTATTTTTAAAAGGGGAGTCTTAAAAAATATGTACATTTCTAAATTTCTGTTATAGTAAATCTTGTCCAAACAATTTTTTTATTTTCTACTTATATCATGAATAAGAAACAGGTTTATAAATATCATTATGGTGGATTAGTTTATGAAAATATATTTAATCAATGTCATACTTGCAGATGTCTATCTTTAAAGATTGGCTGAGAATACAACTGTCTTTATGATAGAATCTTATTTTTAAAGAGATAAAAATCTGGTTCTCCATATATTTCCCACTGCTGTTTTCTGCATTTTAAACATTAATTATATTTTTCTATGGATAATTATGTTTCCAATAAAAATATTAACGTCTTAAAAGAAAGGTACATATTAATGACTTACTGGTAAAAAGCTACCATGGGGAAAATAAGTTATTTTCATCCATGACCTCAATTACCATGTATACACTGATGATTTTCTAACCAGAATGTTGAGCTTAATCTTCTCTTCTGAAATTTCATGCACACTCCTTCACTTCCAACTGCCACCCAATTTCCTCTAGGTGTCTCATACCTGAACTGAATTTATCACTTGTTTCTTAAGTTATACTTCCTGCAACTTGAATGAATATTCCTTCATTAATAAAGCTAAACTACACTGGAGATAGAAAGAAAATTCAAAAGCTCTTATAGAATCATTTCCACCCAGAGTTACACCCTGCCTCAACTGGACTTAACTAGTACTGATATGGTTTGGCTATGTTCCCACCCAAATCTCGTCTTGAATTGTAACTCACATAATCCCCACGTCATTGGAGGGACCTGGTGGGAGGTAATTGAATCATGGGGGCAGGTTTTGCCTGTGCTGTTCTTGTGATAGTGAATAAGTCTCACAAGATCTTATGGTTTTATAAAGGGCAGTTCCCCTGCTATGTTCTCTTGCTTGCTGCCATGTAATATGTGCCTTTGCTCCTCCTTTGCCTTCCTCCATGATTGTGACACCTCCCTAGCCATGTGGAACTGTGAGTACATTAAACCTCTTTTTCCTTTATAAATTACCCAGTCTTGGTGTGTTTTTATTAGCAGTGTGAGAATGGACTAATACAGTACACTGGTACCAGGTAGTGGGGCGCTGCTGTAAAGATACCCAAAAATGTGGAAGCAGCCTTGGAATTGGGTAACAGACAGAGCTTGGAACAGTTTGGAGTGCTCAGAAGAATACAGGAAAATGTGGGAAGGTTTGGAACTTCCTAGAGACTTGTTGACTGGCTTTGACCAATGTGCTGATAATGATATGGACAATAAAGTCCAGGCTGAGATGGTCTCAGATGGAGATGAGGAACTTATTGGAAACTGGAGCAAAGGTGATTCTTGCTATGCTTTAGCAAAAAGACTGGTGGCATTTTGCCCCTGCCCTAGAGATCTGTGAAACTTTGAACTTGAGGGGGATGATTTAGAGTATCTGGCTGAAGACATTTCTAAGCAACAAAGTGTTCAAGAGGTGACTTGGGTGCTCTTAAAAGCATTCAGTTTTATTCATTCACAAGGATATGGTTTGGAATTGGAACTTATGTTTTAAAGGGAAGCAGAACATAAAAGTTCAGAAAATTTGCAGCCCTGATGATGTGCTAGGAAAGAAACACCCATTTTCTGAGGAGAAATTCAAGCAGGTTTCAGGAATTTGCATAAGTAATGAGGAGCCAAATGTTAATTGCCAAGATAATGGAGAAAATGTCTCCCAGGCATGTCAGAGGTCTTCACATCAGCTCGTCTCATCACAGGCTCAGAGGCCTAGGAGAGAAAAGGTTTCCTGTGCCATGCCCAGGGATTTGTTGCTTTGTGCAGTCTCAAAAGTTGGTGCCCTTGGCCGGGCGCGATGGCTCACGCCTGCAATCCCAACACTTTGGGAGGCCAAGGCAGGCGGATCACGATGTCAGGAGATGAAGACCATCCTGGCTAACACGGTGAAACCCCGTCTTTGCTAAAAGTACAAAAAAAAATAAAATTAGCTAGGCATGGTGGTGGGCGCCTGTAGTCCCAGCTACTCGGGAGGCTGAGGCAGGAGAATGGCATGAACCCGGGAAGTGGAGCTTGCAGTGAGCCGAGATCGCACCACTGCACTCCAGCCTGGAGTGAAACAGAGCAACAGAGCAACAGAGCAAGACTCCGTCTCAAAAAAAAAAAAAAAAAAAAAAAAAAAAAGTTGGTGCCCTGCATCTCAGCAGTGGCTGAAAGGGGTGGACGTAGCATTCAGGCCATTGCTTCAGAGGGTGAAAGCCCCAAGCCTTAGTGGCTTACACATGGTTTTGGGCATGTGGGTGCACAGAAGTAAAAAATTGAGGTTTGGGAACCTCCACCTAGATTTCAGAGGATGTAGGGAAACACATAGATGTCCAGGCAGAGTAGAGAACCTCTACTTAGGGTAATGCAGAAGGGAAATTTGGCGTGGATCCCCCACACAGAGTCCCACTGAGGCACTGCCTAGTGGAGCTGTGAGAAGAGGGCCACCATATTCTAGACTACAGAATGGTAGATCCACCCACAGCTTACACCATGTGTCTGGAAAAGCCACAGATACTCAATGCTAGCCCATGAAGCAGCTAGGATGGGGGCTGTATCCAGCAAAGCCATAGGGATGGAGGTGCCTAAGACCATGGGAATCCACCTCTTGCATCATGGTAAGCTAAATGTGAGACATGCAGTCAAAGGAGATCATTTTGGAGGTTTACAATTTGACTGCACCACTGGATTTCAGACTTGCATGGAGCCTGTATCCCCTTCATTTTGTTCAATTCCTCCCATTTGCAATGTGTGTATTTACCCAATGCCTTTACCTCCATTGTATCTAGGAAGTAACTAACTTGCCTTTAATTTTACAGGCTCATAGGTAGAAGGAACTTGCCTTGTCTCAGATGAGACTTTGGACTGTGGACTTTTGAGTTAATGCTGAAATGAATTAAGACTTTTGGGGACTGTTGGGAAGGCATGATTCATTTTGAAATGTGAAGACATGAGATTTAGGACAGGTCGGGGTGAAATTATATGGTTTGGCTGTGTCCCCACCCAAATCTCATCTTGAATTTTAGCTCCCATAATGCCCACATGTTGTGGGAGGGACCGAGTGGGAGGTAATTGAATCATGGGGGTGGGTTTTTTTTCTCTGCTCTTCTCATGATAGTGAATAAGTCTCACAAGATCTGATGGTTTTATAAAGGGCAGTTTCCCTGCACATGCTCTCTCACATGCCTTTGCTCCTCATTCACCTTCCGCCATGATTGTGACGCTTCCTCAGCCACGTGGAACTGTGAGCCCATTAAACTTCTTTTGCTTTGTAAATTACTCAGTCTTGGGTATGTCTTTTTTAGCAGTGTGAGAATGGACTAATATAGATACCTAAATAATACATGTCTATGATGGGAAAGTTTTGTGTGTTTGGGGTGCAGAAATATAAGGAAGATTTTATTTTCCCCTCAGTGAAAAAATATAATTGTAATGAAGACAGAAAAATTTTCAAAGATATAGTCCAATAAGAGAAACACAAGAACCCATTATCTCCAGGTTTTAGTGCTAGGATTGGGTATGGTAGAGGTGAGTCAGAACTGTGTGAAACTCAATTGTGTAACTTTGAGGTAATGTTTTGCAGATTTTTCCATTTATTCTCCCATATGGTCAGCTATTTTAGTTATTATTGTGGAAAGTGACAGTCAGTTTTGATTATGCATATGGAGATTGTGGGATTGATTCAAATGACACCCAGAACTTACATATTGTGCTGGATTTTTGCACATAGTATTGAGTTCTTGATCTCCTCACTTGTGTAGAATATAGAGGAAAGCACATGGAAATCTGGATAACTGCTTTCAGGAGAGCACCAGCTGAGCTGTTTTCTGAATTCATAAATTAGCCAAAAACTATTCTCATCAAAATCAAAAACTAATCTCATAAAAAATGGTATAGGGTATAGACAGAGTTTTATAAGGAAGAAGCTAGAAAAAGTTTCAGATGTCAGGATGAAATCCAGGTCAAGTATTAATCTGGTGGAGGGAGCTTGGGGAGGGATACTGAGCATGATGTGGACACTGAACAAATAAAAATTTTTAAAAAGCAGAGTAATCAAAATTATTGAACAAAAGTGCTAAAAGGGGCAGGTTGGCTGTTCCATGGAGACTTTGCCTTGAATTCATGGACAACCTAGATAAAAGTGACATCGCTGCACTTGCCAAACACAGGAATGGCACATAAAATATGATAATAATAGTTAAAATGGTTGAAAAGTAAATACTTAAGCTCGAAGTGAGACAGGAATCCCTAGTGCCAGAGCCAGAAAGTGGAAGGTGGACTAGTAGGCATACACTCTAACAGGAACATGCCCTGGGGGACTATAAAATTTGGATGAAGTGGCTGAGGATTGTGTTCCTAGGGCTCATAGGGTCAAATGATCTTAGCTTGCATGAAGCATGGCTGAAACTGGGTCCTGTGTATATACTGCTACCATAGAGAGGCTGTTCCCTTCGTGTAAAAGGAGTCACAAAAACTTGGTTTAATAGCAAGGGAATGTGGCAAGATAACATTTCTCCTCGGGTTCTTAGTTAAAAAAAAATTACCCCTCCAGACATGGAAACTCCAAGCCTTTAGTATGTAATGGTGAGGGATATTAATTCATACTGCCCACATATTGCCAACTTTCCAGACTGAAAAATTAAAATCTAATTCTGGAGCAATGAGACCCAGGAGAAGTAAACATAAAATTAGTCTATGTGGATATTTTCACATTTGAAAGTGAACAGCACCGTTCCATGGGGGATGCAGGAGCATGAGGTGAAATCTCTGCTAAAAATGAGTTCCCAGTAAGACAATTACAAGCCAGATGAGGGAATAAATATTATAAATGGGAACCCAGAGAGAAAATAAATAAAGATTTCTGCACTTGAATAACTTAAAATGATAAAATAATTTCGAAGAGGCTATAAAATATTACTGCATGATTAAAGAGATAAAAGAAGAAATCAACATTTTAATGACAGAACAAGAGATTATGAGAAATAAGTTTAGATTAAAAAGCAAAACTTCTAGAAATTGAAACGTAATCATTGAAATAAAAAATAATGGACTTTGAAACCTAAAAGTAACATGAAGTTAGCACAAAGAACTTGTTTAACAAAAAGGGTGAAAAATAACATAAAACCAGTTGACATGTCCCAAAGAGAGAAAAGAAGTCTGTTTCGAAAACTCAGGCAGGCCAGGCGTGGTGGCTCACGCCTATAATTCCAGCACTTTGGGAGGCTGAGGTGGGAGGATCCCTTGAGCCCAGGAGTTTGAGACCAGCCTTGGCAGCGTAGTGAGACCTCATTTCAAAATTTAAAAAGTAAAAGAAAAATATCCCACAAAAACAAAAACTCAGGTAGTAAAGAGAATTAAAATAGTGAATAGGCACTTACGGTGCATTTGACCTTCTTCATATGACTTAATCCTTGAAAGAACTACGTAAAGTCATTGTACTTTTATTCCTATTTTATTCAGTACAAAACTCAAACTCTGAAAGTTTAAGTGATTTACCAAAGCTTATTAATTAATAATTAATGGCAGAGCAAGGTAACTAGGAGTATTTTATTTCTGAAGTATTTCCAGTAACTTATCATTTGGAAGCATTTGTGGCCACATTTATGGCACTTTACAAGAGATTCATTGTAGACGGATTGGAAGACATGAGTTCATCAGAAGTTTCTAGATCTAGTAAAGCTACTTTATTATTTAGATTCCAGTTTCAAGTACTGGAATCCTATTTTTTAAATAAATCAAGTGTGATAAATTTGCCAAAATGAAATTCTGGGGGAATTGAGCCTTACCATGGTAATAAAAGACAAGATATAAGAATCAGGACTGGAGCCTCAGTGTCTGATCATAGAGGATTCATATGCTCCCTCCTACCTCATTACCTACTTTCCCCTCTTCTTTCCTTCTCTTTGAATGTGTACACCATTTTTTGTTTTGTTTAATGTCAGCAGATAGGAATGCAGACAATTTTAGTTCCTAACCAGAGAGAAAGGAGCCTTTTTGTCCAATCCGAGCAGGTGAACCCTGGTTAATGACTCCCATTATCCTGGAACAATTCAAATGTAGTCTAGGTCAGGCTCCTAGAAAGAGAACCCGAGATGAGAATTTTTTTGTGTAAGTGATATAGTGAGGAAATACTTGCAGATGAAACCTATAAAGGAGACTGTCAGAACAGGGCAAGGGAAGAAGCTACTCAAGGTGTGGCTTCAGCAGACTAGCCTCAGCTTAATCCCTGGGGAGGTTTAATGATACTGTAGTTTCCCACTTGAGGCAATTGGTCTTGGCTTTTCTGTCTCCTTCACCACTCAGTCATGGGATGAGAGCCATCTCTCGAGGGGACTGCTATGTACCTACCAGACATCTCTGGGGAAGGTGGTTTCTACTGTCCAAGGGCAATTTTCTGGATTGGGTATAGCTGTAAACTGTTAGTTGCGATTACTCACAGATCATTACATAAGGAGTTCTGGGTGAGGCACCAAGAGCATCCTCCATAGCCTGCCTAACTCAGGACTATTTAGTATAGGTGATAGGGGTACAATATTTCTCTGAACCTGGTTTACCTACCTTATTTATGCTTGGAAGTAGGTTGGGCTTGGAGTCTAGTATGAGAAGAAAACACTGAAGAGGTGAGGTGCTGGATAGACTATAGATAGCCATTATTCCAACCAAATCCTTTGCCCCTGTGCATATCATCTATTTTCTACATCTCTGAAATCTCTCCTAGAGTTTTAAATATAATGCGTCTTAATTAAAATTATATGCACATTATATATGTATATTACATGTGTGTATATGCACACCCACATTGCTTAGGCATTTGCCTGCCATATAAAACCCAGTAAATCTAATTTTGAATTTTTAGTCTTTTCCACAATTCGACTTCTCCTTTATTACCAGTAATATCATCAGACAGTCAGGCTTAAATCCTTTGAATTATCTCTAATTTTTTCTCCTTTTCTTCTTTTCATCTCATATACTATGAATCGACAGATCTTAAACATTTTTTCATAATGCTCTTCACACGTAAGCCTTCCATTTTATCATCATTCCCATTCCAGTCCTCATCTTGTCACACTTTAACTACACCTAGAGTTTCTTAACTGACCACCTTCTCAGATCAAATCCTTGCCTTAATAGAGCAATATTTCTAAGGTACCTCTTTAAACACATCACATCCTGACTCAAAATCTTTAAATATCTTCCCCTCTTGCCTATAAATCTAATTTTTTTGGATTTATATTTAAGTTCTCTCAATAATCTTGCCCCAGCCAGGCATGGTGGCTCACACCTGTAATCCCAGCACTTTGAGAGACTGAGGCGAGCAGGTCACTTGATCTCAGGAGTTCGAGACCAGCCTGGCCGACATGGTGAAACCACGTCTCTACTAAAAATACAAAAATTAGCTGGGCATGGCACCTGGCGCCTGTAATCCCAGCTACTTGGGAGGCTGAAGCTTGAACATAGGAGGTAGAGGTTGCAGTGAGCCGAGACTGCCAGCCTGGACAATAGAGTGAGACTCTGTCTTAAAAAAAAAAAAATTCTTGCCCCATTGGGCTCCGGTGGTGTGTCAATGTGTGTTGTCTATTTTTAATACTTTTGTAAGTTATTTTATCTAGCTATAAAAAGGAAAAATATCAAATTTCGGAATAAAGTTAAGATGTGAAAATACAGAACTTAACACGTTGAAATTTTGAAGCATTAAATGCCATATTCTGAATTTCATTTCTAAAAATAAACTTTGGGCAAGGTGATTAGAAAATACCAAAATTGGGAAACAATTTTTTTTCAAGTTAAAAAATATGTTGTTATTACAAAAATTTTTTTAAATTAAAAATTAAAAAAAGAAAATGCAATTTTAGACTATATTACAATAAGCAAATTAGGTGGAACATATATTTTCAAAAGTTTGACCAAAGAAATATTTTTCAAACCAAATTACACAGATTCCAAGCATACAAAACAATAAAAAGGAAACTATCTTACTATTAAAGTGAAGTGTCCTGGTGCTCCTTCTTTCTGCTTTCCTGCACCGACTCCACTCCAAAATTGTCCCCGAAGCACTTCCATGGAATCCTAACTCTTCCTAGGAGTTTGTAACCCTTTGCTCTAGGTCAAGATTAGAAAATATGTTACATTTTACTGTCAGTCTATACATAAATATTGCAGTAAGTCCTTGCTGCTCTACTCTAAGTAAGCTAAACTAAAGTTTATTTTGGAAGACAGCAAAATAACAGTGAGGTGACTGAAAATCACATAATGGGGATTAGTTGATTGAAAGAAATGGAAATGTTGAGCAGAAGGGCAGAAGAATTAACAGTAATATGATACTGGTTTTTACGTGTATGAAGGCTATCATTGTAGAGTGGTTTTAGATAGCTCCAAATGTCAAGTAAAAAACCATCTTGAAAGAATGGATGATTCAAATGATAGAAAGCATTAAGAAAATTCTAGGGCCTACCATTGGTTTAGACTGTGTGTGTATGTGTGCGTGTGTGTGTGTGTGTGTGTGTGTATGTGTGATTCTAGGTATGTCTTTTGCCAGGCTATGTAGTTGGGATATATATGAAAATAGCTATACTTCACATGATAGATGTGTTAATTCTTAGAACATTTAAATGCTTATTAGATGCTGGCAATGTCTCAGACACTGTTCTAAGTGGTGAGGATAAAGAGATGAACAAAACACAATCCCTGTTTTTAATCTGGTAAGCAAAACTAACATTTCACAAAAAAACTACAATGCAATATTAGAAGTGGTAAAGAGAGATATAAACAGCACTATGGGAAACAAAAATGAGAAAGAAAATCAAGCTTCTTGAGGGCAGTCAGTGAACGTTTCACAATGGCATTATAATATACAGCTTGTTTTAAAGACTGAGCCTACTAAGTGACGACATGGGAAAATCTATCCCAGATGAGGCTAATGGTTTGTGCAAATATTCCAAGGCACAAAATTACACAGAATAGGTGGAAACCATTTAGTATGGTTGGAAATTAATGTATGTGCCTGCAGTTGAGTGAGGTGGCAAGGACAGAAAAGTTGTTCTGGGGGAAGACAGAGACAAGAATTTGAACCCCCTGGGTGATACACTCATATCCCGTGTTTCAACCTACTACATTTGTGACAGATTTGCTGTTTTGGTGTATGGAGGGGTGAGAGGTAGGACTAGTCTTTACAGAGTCTTACATAGTACTTTTTGCCACATTTTTAGTACACAAAAAAGTCAATAAAGAGAAATAGAATACTGCAATATAAGTATAGGTAGATTAGCTTTGCTATATTTTCTAATTATTTTAGAAACTTAATAAGAAATATATTTTGTTGCTATATGATCAATGAAAACTCACCTGAGTTGTCTCCCATGTAACAGACACAGTTATGGTCAGATCAAATAAGGCTGTGAAACCATGAATTAAAAAATGAGATGAATGATTCTAAATAAGTGCTCTCTTAAGTTTTCCCTTTCATTTGTTCCCTGATGATGAAAACCAAAGGGCTGCAATATTAGTAGATCATGAATACCGGATACAATTTATAGCCCTAAGCAATAATGCTTTTGCATTTTCCAATATATATTCTTAGCCTTTTAATATATTTCTATTTAAAACACAAATTTATAAATTAAATTTCAAAAAGAAATATTTTAGGAGCAGAAAGAAATCAAAATGATTTTATTCTGAAGACTCTTCTGCATTTTAAGGCTAACTTCAATTTTATAGACCTTTCAGCTGAAGCATTGCAAAGTTTAATAAGGCATTCCAAGAAAATACATGTCCACATTTTATTTCCAACTTCTACTGCAACAGAAAAAATCACCTGCACATTGTGCACATGTACCCTAGAACTTAAAGTATAATAAAAAAATAAAAAATAAATAAAAAAAATCACTATTGAGTACTAGGCTTAATACCTGGGTGAGGAAATAATCTGTACAACAAACCCCATGACATGAGTTTACCTATACAACAAACCATCACATATACCATGAATTTAAAATGAAAAGTTAAAATTAAATAAATAAAAAGTCAAGGAAAAAAATTGGATTGGCCAGGTATGATGGCTTATACCTGTAATCCCAGCACTTTGGAAGGCCAAGGTGGGAGAATCACTTGAGCCCAGGAGTTTGAGACCAGCCTGAGCACCATAGTGAGACCCCCTCTCTATGAAAAACTCAAAAGATTAGCCAAGTGTGGTGGCCTATAGTCCCAGCTACTTGGGAGGCTGAGGTGGGAGGATCTTTTGAGTCTGTGAGGTTGAGGTTGAAGTGAGCCATGATTGCACTACTGCACTCCAGCCTGGGTGACAGAGTGAGACCCTGGGTTTTTTGTTGTTGCTGTTGCTGTTGTTTGTTTTGAGACAGAGTTTTGCTCTTGTTACCCAGGCTAGAGTGCAATGGTGCGATCTCCGCTCACCGCAACCTCGGTCTCCTGGGTTCAAGGGATTTTCCTGCCTCAGCCTCCCGAGTAGCTGGGATTACAGGCATGTGCCACCACGCCTAGCTAATTTTGTTGTACTTTTAGTAGAGACAGGGTTTCTCTGTGTTGGTCAGGTTGGTCTCGAACTCCCAATCTCAGGTGATCTGCCCCCCTCGGCCTCCCAAAGTGCTGGGATTACAGGTGTGAGCCACAGCGCCCGACCTACTCTGTCTTTAAAAAAAGAAGAGAAATAAAAATTTGGATTGGATTGATAAGCAAGAGTTTGCTTGCTTACATTGGTTTTTACTAACATGACTTGCATGGGGAAAGAGAAACTAAAGGAGAGAACGATTGTTATCAGGTGTAATTCTAGGCAACTCTTTGTGGTGTATCTTAAGCCATCACTTAATGTCACCCCTCTACAATTTCACTTAATGTAACTTCCTTGCACTCTTCACTTAATTTCATTTCTATGCAGTTCGTGGAGAAAATAATTAAAAACTTAAACCATTATTCTTGGTCTTCATAGAATTCTAAACTAAAATGCAAACTGCCTTGCATTATGTGTTATTTAGGAAGTGGTGTGCATGCTCTAAAATTAAATAGAGTGAAAGCAGAAAAATAATACAATTTTATAAAACTGTTTCAAACAAAGAAATACATTTGTACTGATGAAAAATATGTCACTTAAAAATATTAACCAACTCAATCATTCTTAAAAACAAAGGAATACTTTACAAATTAGACACAATTGCTTGGGATTGCTACATTCTCCACTTGGTAAGATTCTACTCTGATTCAAAATACGCAAATAGTTTGTTCAAAAATCTCTTCATTCACCACGTCTTTACTTACTAGCACTTTTTAATCTAGTTCCTTTATTACTCATGCTCCCAAACTTTTTCTTCTCTTAAGCATATAAACCATGCTTTTTTTTTTTTGACACTTTTAATTGTTTTAATTGCTTAGAATTTTGCATGCTTTACCTTCTTTAATGCTAACAACCCTGCAGGGAGACAATATTGTTAGCCTCATTTCACAAGGGAGCTAAGCTACAGATAAACTGTCACTGGCTTGAATTTTTAGTGGTGCCCCTGGCATGAGCAGTCTGGTCCTAGAGTCCATGCTCTTAATCACTACGTGGTGTTACCTCCTATATGTCTTCTTAAGTAAAATATGTCATTCTTTTTTTTAATCCAGCTTTCACCCTAATTATACTGTGAACCTTTTATTTATCCATTTGGTTACTAAATGTGCCGCTGTGCCAAGCACTGGAGATAAAGAGAAAAATAAAGCAAAACCCCTGTGCTCATTTAACTCACAAAGTAGTGAGGGAAGAAGCTATGAAGAACAGGCAGTAGGGGGAGTGCTATGGTAGACATAAATCCAGACTGTAGAGGCAAACAGAAGGAGCACTGTGCTGAGAGTCAGGTAAGGTTTCCTGACAAAAGTCATGCCAAGGTTGAGTGGTTTTAAAAAATATTTTATGTATTGAATTGACAAATAAAATTGTATATGTTTATTATGTGTTAGAAGTTGTTCTGAAATATGTATACATTGTGGAATGGCTAGATCAAGCTAACTAATATATGCATTACCTCACATACTTTTCATCTTTGTGGTGAGAATATTTAAATCTGCTCTCCTAGCAATTTTCAAGAACACAATACAGTTATTAACTAAAGCCACCGTGTGTTCATCAACGAATGGTAAAAGAAAATGTGGTGTAATATACCCAATGGAATACTATTTAACCTAAACTGAATTTTGAGGAATGTGTAGGAGAAAGCTGGCCACTGGAAAAGTGAGGTGATAGGACATATCAGGCAGCCGTGTTACTTGTCTAAACGCTGGGCAGTGAGACCAAGCATGGAGTTTTGTGGATGTACTAGTAGGTAAGTATGATTGAAGTATAAACTGTAAGGTGGGAAGCTGTCATAAATGAGGCTATGAAGAAAGTAGAAGACTTGTATGTAGGAATGGCATGATGACATTTGCACCTTAGAAAAATGGTTCTAAGGAAAGGACTGGGAATGGTTTGTTTGGGGAGCACTCCAGATTAGAGTGAAGGAGGCCTGTTGGGAGGCCATTGCCGTGAACTAGGAGAGAGACGACGGTCACCTCGAAGTAGCTATACCAAGGATGGGTAAAATGGCCAGATCGGATAGATGTAAAGACTGATTTGGAAATGATAACTTTTGGTGAACGATTGAATTTGGTGTTGGGGGAGAACAGAGAGAAATATGGTGGGATAACTAGATTTTTATCTTGTACAATTTGACAGGTGGTGATGCTGATTACCAAGATAAAAGACTGAATAAAGCTCATAGGTTTAGTCTTGGACAGATTAATTTGAAGTCTCTAAGTGACACCTGAGTGGAGAAATCAAGTAGTATTTGGGTGTATGATAAAGTTTGGAAGAAAGTTTTGAAGATGAGTCTCTCTGAGGACAGGAATCTTTTCATATTAAAAAGTATTTGGCATATACAGCCAACCCTTCATATTTGAGGGATCTGCATCCAGAGATTCAATCAATCATAGATCAAAAATATTTTAAAAAATAATTAAATAATAAAATTTAATAACACATCAATACAAATAATACAAATAAAAAAAATGCAATATAACAATGATGTAAATGGTATTTACATTGTATTAGGTATAATAACCTGGAGATGATGGAAAGTATACAGGAGGATATGCATAGGTTATGTACCAAAACAACATTTTATATAAGGGACTTGAGTATTGGCAGATTTTGGTAACGTCAAGGGTCCTGGAACCAATGCAGTTAACAAGGGACAACTGTAATATTTGAGCACAAAATTTGACAAACAAAATTTTGTTTTGTAAATACTTGCTATATCATTTATGTAAAAGTCCAGTTCTTCCAAAGGTTGGACTCTTGTGAGCACTACAAGTAAAAATACTTTTATTAATATTCCTATAAGTTTCTGAATTTTCTTTTGATGTGATATTATCAGATATGTCAAGAAATTCCTTCTGTCTCAGCAATGATTGAGCCAAGATGTGAAGGTTAGCAGGAGTTAACTAGGAAAAGGGGGCTGTGGAAAATGTTTCAGCACGCAAAGACATTGAAGTTATGATTTAAATTGGACTTGACTTTTCAATACCTGAAAATGTAATGGTTCTAATATGTGAAAATGATCAGAAAGATAAGTATCTGCAAGAGATATCTAGAAGCAAAAAATGAAGATTCCAAAAAACATATTTGAAAGCAGAGGTGGGAAATAGAAAAATGTTTTTTGTTGATTGTATTTTGCAGTGTTCAGCTTGTTCAATCAGCCAACTTAATAAAAATAAAAATTTCTTGTAAATCTAGTAGAAACGTTTTCTTGGCCAAAAAATATTCACCCATGCAAGTGGAACTATTGTTAAACAATGTTTAAGTGATGTTAGTTTGTTTGGTGCACCCATATTTGTTCTTGGACCTTCACTTCTGTTTAGGCATTGAAGGAACTGTAGTACTTTATGCCAAAGAACTAAGGGACTAGAAAGCCAGTCTGTCATTTACTTATATCCATCAACCAATATGTATATTTTGAGAACCTATCTTGACAAAGGGTGCTATCAGAAAGATATTACCTTTAAAGTATACATGTATTATATGTAAAAAATACAGTAATGTATGCATTACATATGTAAATTCATATATGTATATGAAATATATATGTACCTATATGAATATAAAAAGAAATCCAGTAATATATGTGTATATATGTATGTGTGTACTATTTCTGTTTGCAGGAAATAGCATGATGTTTCACATTGGTGCACAAGAGTAGGGAAAGCTGTAATAACGTGCATATGTTTTTGTCCTAAAAGGAGCTTGTGAAAATCTAGATTTGCTTCAACAATATGAACAGATTAGAAAATGGCTTTGGAATTTACTTTATTGAAAAATGGTTCAGTAATGGCAACTTCTAAATAGGAAATTGCACACATTTCTTGAAAATGGAATTAAATTTGCAAAAGGCTTATTGGGGACACATCTGTTATGCAAAGCAAAGTGTAGCTGTTCAGTGAGTAGGAAAGCAGTATGGCCATGCTTGACTCCTTCATGACTTGGAGGAGAGAAGACGTAGTCATCCAGGTGCTCCGTTTACTTCCAAACATCTGAGCAAGCTTTTTTTTTTCCCAAAGATCTAAATGAATTTTCTGAAAGATACTAGTAAACGCATCAATTAGAGTAATGTTTTCTTTTAGTGACCAATGTAAAATAATTTATAATCAGTTGCTATGGCTTTGTTATAGAACCTATGTTAACGCATGGTGTTTGGCTATCATAAAATATTTCATATAGCTTAAATTATATAGATGGCTCTGTCCCATTTGGCATCTTTCATTAATAATTGTATGTAAAGCTATGTCTCATGATTATATGCGATAATGGTGTACATTTTTTCTTATAAGTCAAGCAATGAATTAATTGGGAAAGAGTTTGTTCTATAACCAAACTAGATGCTTTCTATAGTCATATATATGATATTATGTAGAAAAACACAGTAGAGGCTGGCTGAATTGTGCTTTACATTTCATTCAGACATAGTGGTGTTTATTTTCGCTTTAGGACATAGGGAAGAATCAGACTCAATATATAGTTCTTCACTGACTAATTTAGAAATTGCCAAAGTTTGTGTTGTTCACTAGAAAAATTAGGTGATAAATTTAAACGGTTGTTCACATAAGCAGCTTCAAACAAATTGTTATTGAAGACAAAATAAGATTGGCCAGAATGATCATATTTGTTGCCCTCATTGATTTAAATCCCTAGATAAAATTCAAAATTTCATTTCATATTTCCTTTCAACATATATTGGGAAATGATTTTTGATTTTCCAATATCAAATAATGCTATCTGTCAGCAACAAAATATTTATTAACATTTATTAAACACAAATAGAACACTTATTAAAACACAATGCTTTAGAAAGTCCATCTCTTAAGGTTGGTAATACAAGGTGAATAGCTCAGTATCTTACCAAAAGTATATTTAGTTGAAAATGTAATTTATTCAAAGATGACAGTGCAATTAATTGTGGAAACACTGATGTGCTAAATAGAGAACACTGAAGATACAAAGAAAAATGAAAGCACAGAAGAAACCAAATGAGTGTTTTGTTCAAAACATTTATGTATACATAGACACTTCCAAAATATTTTTAAGATAAATGAATAATTTAATTGTATTTGTAGTCTACTTAGCTATTCACAGACCCTTTTGTTAAAGTTTGCTCTTTCTCACACCCATGGTCTTCTGGTCTGTCCCTTGTGCCTTCACTTAAAAGTAAGCTCAAGTACAAAATCTCTAAAATATTCTCTCTTGCTATCTTCCTAAGCTTCCACTGACTATCCTCTCAAATCTTGAAATAGTATTTTACACTTTGGGAGGCCGAGGTGGGTGGATCACGAGGTGGGTGGTCAGGAGATCGAGACCACCCTGGCAAACATGGTGAAACCCCGTCTCCACTAAAAATACAAAAAAATTAGCTGGGCGTGGTGGCGGGCGCCTGTAGTCCCAGCTACTGGGGAGGCTGAGGCAGGAGAATGGCGAGAACCCGGGAGGCGGAGCTTGCAGTGAGCCGAGATTGTGCCACTGCACTCCAGGCTGGGAGACAGCGAGACTCCGTCTCAAAAAAAAAAAAAAAAAAAAAAAAAAGAAGTAGTATTTTACACACATATATTTCCTTCAATTACTAATCACAGATTACCTTCTTAACCTCTCATCGCCTAATTCTGCACTCACACTCCACTTTAATTACTCTCTTAAATTCACCGAAGATATTTAGGTAATGCAGGGAATTGCTTCTTTGCAGCTCTGCGTCTTAAAGATCACGAATCACATATTCAATCCTTCTTCTCTTTTGATTTTCAGAATGCAACACTCTCTTGGATTCCTTCTTCTCTTTGACTTCCCTATCATTGTTTTCCTCCCCATATTCATTATCAAATTGACATCAATGTTAAAAAATTATTTAATTCTGATGCAAAGTGACATAATGGACACTTTGATATATTTTATGTTTCTAAGAAGGAAAGTAATGCTGCAGACAACTTAGCAACTGAATCGGAAGACTCCAGCATATCCGTTGCCTTCAGTTAATAATTTTATTACTGGATGTATACTTTAATGAACTAATTATACCTATAGAGTAATCTTTTATGTTATCTATGACTTTGAAAAAATTGAAATAACTCAAGTGCCTAAAAAGGGCAATAATTTTGAAATTTGTAGAATCTGTATTTGATATAATATTATTTCATTAAAAGTAATATTTATGAAAGTATAGGCTGGGCACAGTGGCTCCTTCCTGTAATCCCAGCACTTTGGGAAGCCAAGGGGGACAGATCACGAGGGCAGGAGTTCGAGACCAGCCTGACCAATATGGTGAAACCCAGTCTCTACTAAAAATACAAAAATTACCATGCGTGGTGGTGGGCACCTGTAATCACAGCTACTCAGGAGGCTGAGGCAGGAGAATCGCTTGAACCCGGGAGGCTGAGGTTGCAGTGAGCCGAGATTGCACCATTGCACTCCAGCCTGGGTGACAGAGCGAGACTCTGTCTCAAAAAGAAAAAAAAGAAAAAAAAAGAAAGTATAATGACATAGAAATTATTTAAAATATGCAGTATATAAGGCAGATAACTAGCTTTTATACACAGAGTTATTGTGACTGTACAGAAATATTTATAGAATTAAGGATGAAACATACATCAAAATGTGAGAATTGATAATTTCTGAATAGTGGCCCTGAGAATTATGATCAATTTTCTATTTATAGCTATAATTATTTTCTACATTTCTTGCTTTAGTTTTACAATCTCTCAATACATTTAGAAATGGTGTAGATAGCATTTATAATTTCTCACACTCCTGAAATTCTATGATTACCAGTTAGCTAGCGATAGTAGAACAAATGTTCTTACAGATAGCAGCTATTGCTACAGTTTTTGCAAGGCTCATGGTTTTGCTATGTTTTGGTAGTAGTGTGGCTTTATTGCTGCTGCTGATTCTCCAATTAAACAGGGCAATCACCTGAAAGCCCTGTTAAATGCCTTGCCTTTTCCAAAGGAATTAACTATCAGTAAAGTGAAGAAACACCCCCCAAAAAAAGACTCTAGAAGCAAAGTGTAATGCTTGATCAAATTATAATACTACCCAGGCTGTTTTTAACACACTCCTAGACTAACAAGTCTAAAAATCAGAGCCATAACTAATTTCTGACTTTTGGCATCAGGTCTTTTAGTCAACTCTAGCCTCAAGCACCTGATTCTAAAGAAACAAGTTAGGAAATATAGGATTTGCTTCACTCAGTCTCTAACGTTGCCAAGATGTCTGTTTAGTCCACCCCGGGATGCTCAAATAGGAAAACTTCAAACACATAACAGATGACTCCTGTGATGCCTCATCTGTCAAATGCACAATCCTGGCAAAACTGCAAAGGTGAAACGTGTACATGAGTTAAACTTTTAGGCTCTTTTGAAGAACAACAAATGGATTTTCTTTATTTACCCCTCGTGTGTTTTTGGATATATTAATATTGTCTGCCTGGTTTTGGTTGGCTAGAAGCCTTTTCTTGATGTAAAGCAGCAAAAAAGCTTTTAGACTTTGTACTTCTCAATTGAGGAACCCTAAACTCTTTGCCTACTGATACAGGTATACATTTTGCTAGGGAAGTAATTTAGGAACTATGTGAAACTCTGCATGTCACCAAGAAACTTCACTGCCCCTACCACTTCCTGAACGAAAATAGAATAAATGAATGGCATTTTAAAACTGAAACTTGAAAATGTCTCTAAGAAATTTCAGTCATCATGACTAAAGTATTTTCCCTTAGCTATAGGTCGATGCTGACAGAAATGTACAGCCATCTGGCGATTTCACCACTAATCCCTCACTCTCCCACTTTTGTAGGTATACATGGTCAAATAGTATATAGGCTTAATTTAAGATGCTCAGTCTATTATCAGCTATCTTTTCCCTGGGACAAACTGTAGGAATGACTGCATAACTTTCAGCTAGGTATCTGGTTTACTGGAATTGACACCATTAAAAGTTGCTCTTGAATCTCATTAGAAGATACTTTATCAGTCATTGTTAAACACACACAGTGCAGTAAAACTCTAGGGAATCAACCCTTTTCTTCACATTTTCTTGCTAAAAGGACAGTATATAACCACTTCCTGGACTTCCATGATAATGGAAGATCTTAAACTGGGACTATCTCAAGATTGTCCAAAAGCAGCCAGCATCAGAACATAGACATCTTTCCAAAGAACCTCGGATCAAGCAACAGATTACTAAACATGGATAGATTCCATCCAAGACCAAAAGGTCAAGATTCTCAAATGCCTGGAATCACTGAGCAACACTCCCTTCTTAGTTGCTTTTACCCTCTTGGAGTTTTCCTCCTTCTGTTTCTGATTACTACAAGGAGATTCTTAAAATTTTTCCCCCTCTTATTCTGATTACTAAAATGAGATTCTTAAAATTCAGAACATCTTATTATTCTGTCAAAGTCAGGAGTAGAGCCGGGCGCGGTGGCTCACGCCTGTAATCTCAGCACTTTGGGAGGCTGAGGCAGGCAGATCACGAGGTCAGGAGATCGAGACCATCCTGGCTAACACGGAGAAACCCCGTCTCTACTAAAAATACAAAAAATTAGCCAGGCACGGTGGTGGGCACCTGTAGTCCCAGCTACTCGGGATGCTGAGGCAGGAGAATGGTGTGAACCCGGGAGGTGGAGCTTGCAGTGATCCGAGATTGTGCCACTGCACTCCAGCCTGGGCGACAGAACGAGACTCCATCTCAAAAAAAAAAAAAAAGTCAGGAGTAGAAAAAAATTATACAAACCTATTGATATCAAAGCACCTCTCTTCTCCACAAACTCTAGGTGGGATGAGATTTATTATCCTGGCTGATCCCACAGGAAGCAGGACTTGGCTGAGAGATACCATCCAAGGCTTCCTTTGATCACTTTTGTTTCAACATTTGTTTGCTATATTATGTCCAGAATTTTAAATATTCCATGTAAGTACTCATTTGACAAAAGACTGAAATTCAACTGCAGGTTGGGTGTCGTGGCTCACGCCTGTAATCCCAGCACTTTGGGAGGCCAAGGTGGGAGGATCATGTGAGCCCAGGAGTTCGAGACCAGCCTGGGCAACTTGGTGAGGCCATCTCTACAAAACATAATAATTAAAAAAAATAGCCAGATGTGGTGTCATGCACCTGGGTCCTCACTACTTGGGAGGCTGAGATAGGAGGATCACTTGAGTGTTGGAGGTTGAGGCTGCAGCAATGAGCTAGAATCACACCTCTGATTTCTAGCCACAAGACTCTGTCTCAAAAACAAACAAACAAACAAAAAAACCAATGACGAAGACAAAAGTTATAAGAAATACTTTTGGAAGTCACCAAGGAGTCTGGGATTATAACTGACAGACTGTTATAGATCTGACAGATTGTACGAAGTTATAGTCAAGCAATGAAACTCGGTCTCCTCCTTGACCAAAAGATTATGGGAGACCTTGAAGGACTGAAAATTTTTGCTGTGACGCTCACATGTCATTGGATCGTGCATCTATTTCTCTCCTACACCACTTGATAAACAAATTGCCCAGCCATCTCTTTATTAAACTACAAAAACCATTTCACTATTTTCCAATTACTTTTTTGACTGCTATTGCAGAAACAGATGAACAACTAACCCCTATTACCGAAGGTCTATAAAAAAAGCATCCCTTCTTCCTTAAGACACCACACTCCTTTGGGGCATTCTTGTGTTTCAGAATTCTAAAGAAAAGCTTATGTTTAACTGTATTCTGGTTATTTTTTTCCCACAGTGTGATTAAAACTGTTTATTTCGGCCGGGTACGGAGGCTCACGCCTGTAATCCCAGCACTTTGGAAGGCCGAAGCGGGCGGATTACGAGGTTAGGACATAGAGACCATCCTGGCTAACACGATGAAACCCCGTCTCTACTAAAAATACAAAAACTTAGCCGGGTGTGGTGGTAGGCACCTGTAGTCCCAGCTACTCGGGGGGCTGAGGCAGGAGAATGGCGTGAACCCGGGAGATGGAGCTTGCAGTGAGCAGAGATCATGCCACTGCACTCAAGCCTGGGCGACAGAGCAAGACTCTGTCTCAAAAATAAATATATAAATAAATAAATAAATAAATAAATAAATAAATACTGGTTATTTCAATTTGGAAATTTTTAAAGTTTTCTTTTCTCATTGAACATTTTATATTAGCATTTTTTTTCTGTAATCAGTATTTGTTGCTAAGATCTTCAAAACAAATGAAAAAAATATTGGAAATTACCCAGAAATTTAGCCCAAGAAATAACTATCCGAGTGATTGACTATTATAAAAAATTATTTGATCTATTTTCACAGATTAAAATCATCGAATAAATGTCAACTCTCCTATTCAGTTTTTTTTTTTTTTTTTTTTTTTTTTAGTTTTAAGGAGCAGGGAGTTTAATAGGCAAGAAAGAAGGGGGAAGAAAGAAAGAAGAAGCTCCCCCGTACAGAGACAGAGGGAGGGTTGCTCCAAAGCCGAGAGACAGAACCCCTCCTATTCAGTTTTAATATGGGAGAAAGGCTATTGAGGTTAGGCTCTTTAGAGATGAACAAACGTGGGTTACAAACCAAACTCCTCCATGATCTATTTGTGATCTTGGACATGATCTTTAATTCTTTGAGATGGAATTTTGTTGCCAATGAAACTTGTATCCAGAAAGAAAGATGACTTACTTAAATCCATAAACATAGATAATGTGATAATTCAGTTTCTTAATTCCTGCTATTTACTTCCCTACCTCATGGCCTCCTACACCTGGCATCCAGTCTGCCAATGATCAAAAGATAGGCAGTTAAATAATTATTTACATATAAACGTCTTTAGGTATTACATGTTATAATCTAATCTAAATCTACTCCCTTGTCAGAGGCTATTAACACATAATTTTCACTTCTTCAACAAATATTTATTGAGAGGTCACTGTTCTAGGCACTAGGAAAGCACCAGTGAACAAGAGAGGATAAAGTCCCCGCTCTTGCGAACACCAGGATCTATGGGGATGATGGCAAAATGAATGTGTCCAATAGTATGAAGGGGAGGATGGAGAAATGAATGTGTCCAACAGTATTAAGTGCTAAATAAATAAATACACAACACAGGGTAAAGGTATAGAGGGAGATGGAGGTGTTGTTATAGACATGGTAGTCAAAGAAGTCCTCATGGAGAAGGTACCATTTGAGCAAGCCCCCAGTGAAGTCAGGGAGGGAGCTTGTGACTATCAAGAGGAACCATGCTCCAGGAAGAGGTAAGAGCAGTATGACAGCCCATGAGGAAGGCTGCTGGGTGTATTTGAGGAAAGTAAGCTGAGCCCAGTGTGTAGGGGAAGAGAGGGAGGAAATGGGGTCAGAGAGGTTGCAAGGGGACGTATCAAGTAGGACTTTATAGATCAAGGTAAGACATTTAGATGCAATTAATCTAAGAATGCAATTAAGCCTGGAAAAATAAAACGCTATTAAAAAATTAAGAGTCAAATGTGTGGTTTTCTAGAGTGGGGTAGTGTGATGGTGGCTACCATTTACAATGTGTTATTGAATTAATCTTAATAATGATATTTTTATTATCTTATTTAAATAAGCCCTTATTTTAATAGATGTTGCATATATTCATGTCCTAAGAATGATGTGGATTGCAGAAATAAAAAGTCATTAAAATTCAGTTAATTTTGGTTATCTGAAGACAAACAAAAGTTATTAAAATTAGATCCAGCTTAAATGTACAATTATCTTGTTCAAAATGGAATTTTTTTCAAGAAAGTGATGAGAAATGATATTTGAGAAAGTCTAAAATATTAAGTGATAAAGTAGAAACAGATTTTTCTTCTTATTCCTGTTCCTATTCCTACTTACTAAATCCTTAGCCACATTATTTAACCTCTCTAAGCCTGAATTTCCTCATCTTCAATATGGTGATAATAATACCTTTGCTAGGGCTCAAATGTGATACCCCAAAGAATGGCACCTTGGCATGCTGAGTACTTTGATCTAAAGAAAATGGAAAAAGCCTCACAAACAAGGTCGTTCTGACCTTCTCTCATCTTCTTGTCTCTTGCTCCTCTTTCTCCCCTAAAGTTAATGATAGAAACCAGAATTCCCCTTCCCCAAGGCAGGGCATAGAAACTAGAACCCCTCTCCCCCAAAGCAAGTCATAAAACCTAGAAAGGTCACTCTGTCTCTTCTCCCATGAAGACCCTCATTCTAAAGGAATCCTGCCCCATATCTGGGAAAAAGGAATGCTATACCTAGAGGTCAAGAAGAATTCAAACAGAGAGGCCTTGCTGGGTACCCCCTTGTTTATTATCATTAGATCAGACCTTTTGGTCCAATCCATTTCTGCATGGCTGTCCATTCTTCATCAAACCTAAGCATGAAAATAGACAGCGTTACCTGGGTTTTTAGATTTTCATTGCTGAAGTTTCCTGTGTCATGCAAAATTTTGATTAAGTAAATTTGTTATGCTATTTTTTTGTTCACCTGTCTTTTCCTATAGGAGTGTTAGCCATGACACTCATGATGGGTGAGGAAAGGTATCACACATTTCCACCCCACACCTTCTTCAGGAAATTGACCAGAGTCATCAAAATAATACTTGTGAGATGTTTGGAATAATACCTGACATAGTAAATGCTAAGTAACTGTTACTTTTTTTTCCTCCTTATATGGACTTCAAACTTTGTACATGAAATCATAGTCATGGTCCTTTCACTTTGCTCTGAAAGTAGATGAACTAAATGACATAAATCCTCTAAAGAAAGTATACAGCCCATGCAATTTAAATCATTTGGTAAAACTTCTGCTTTATTAAATAATGAAGTAATGAGCAGTGAAATAACTCATATATATCATTATTTGCTAAGTTAATTTCCTGGGGATTTTGTTAGTTTGAAAGATATATAACCTCTGTAGGATAAGGCACGATGAATGCATTAAAAATACTTGCACAAAGTATAAAACGTGTTATTGAAATATATCGATTTTAGCTAAGATACATATCACTTTCTTTTGCACAGAACATCCTCACTAACATTATATTATTTAATTCTCAATTCCTTGGGAGTAAATAAGGATAAACCCCATGAAGACATAGGGAAGTTAGGGGTTAGTAATTACTCCAGATGGCAGTTGGTGAGTAAGCATTGAAATCTGAATCTGTGCCAAGTTTTATAGAAACACAGTCCATATAAGTTTATACAAATATACAGAATTTTAAAAGATGAAACAGCAGTCATATAGAAAGCCCAAATCTACTTAAGAGAAATGATAAATTACAAGTGTAAATCAGCCTTTGAAAGGTAAGAAAAAAAGAGTGATCTTGCTTACCAAAACTTTCCAAGATTTTATGCAACAGGGATTTAGAGTGCCTATTATATGCAATGACTTCTTAGATGTTTACATTAGTTAATAATCATGGAAAGTTTTGTAAAGCTTTTCTGATTTTGAATGAATGTTTTTTGAGTAAATATTTTACTCTATTTCTTACTATTACCAGCTACATTTATCTGTTCTCCATAGTGCCTGGCACAAAGTTTCAATAAACGTGTTGTATATTTTTAAGTGAAAGTTTAAGGAGTAGGATTTTCAAGTAATTATACTTCTAAAAGTCAGAATATCCAAGAATGAATAGGTTATAAATTTATCTTCATTTCTTTTATAAATAAAAATAACATTAAAAAAGATTTATTTCTTTATATCAAGAAAAAATACAATGTTAATTTTTAAAATTGATTCTTTTGAGAAATGTAGATCTCTTCCTTTCAAGGATGTTTTCAAAAGGAAGCTGTGTGGTTTTCCCATTCAGTAACTAAGTGAACATAAGAAAGAAAAAAGAATAAACATCATGAAAGAGCTATCATTTGAGGAAATAACTTGCTCAAGTCCATTGAATTGCAATGAAGTTATGCTATTACATTCTCTTCCTCTTTGGGTTAATGGCAGTTGTGGAAGTTGAATATCAGGCTTTAAGAGCTGGGTCACTGTAATTCATTTATTAAAACATTTTTCATTTTGTGACTATCCAGGTTTTAAAAAACCATTGTTCAAAGAACGTAACTTAGTGGCCTTATTTTTCCTTTATTATTTTTCTCTTCTACTTCAAAATGATTTGTTAATTCAGAAGCTCCCAGAAATTTTGATGAGAGGAATGACCCAAGTCAGAGTAGCAATTTTGAAAACCTGCAGTCCTAATGGACCGGAGTAAACCAAAAGTCTTCTATCTCTGCCCTCCGAGCAAATCTCCCAGGAGCTTAATTTGACTCAGTGAAGGTCATACCATTTTAGGCCGTCTCTCATAGCCTTTATGACTCCACAATATGTAGTTAAAAAATTAGTCTGTCTTTTCTGCGTTCACTTATCTGCTTCTAGGAGAAGGAGGACTTTTTTCTTGTGTCTTCCATCAGATAGGTGTGTTCAATATACTTGATTTGTTGAGACTTTATGCTTAAAGTGAAAAGTGCCACTGTATATCAAATCAAAATATGATGGTACGCAATTTAATAATCATTTGATTCAGTTCATCTTATATGTGTACCTTTATGAGTTGTATTTAGTCTTTTTTTAGTAGCGATTTACATATATGTTGAAATATTTTCCATTTAAAAGTTTATTTTCCAAATTCGAATAATCTGGATTCTACTAATTATACTTTTTAAAAAAGATTTTTATTGGTTGAATATTTTTCATTTGTCACACTTTAAGTATTCACATTAATGAATATTTGTAAAGGTCTTACCTTATTTAACTGTCTCTCAAAGCTTATGGTATAATTTTTCTAATAACTGATATTAAAAATTAATACCAGATATTATAGAAATATACAGGAATATAAAATGGAAGAAAAGATCAACATCTTTCTATATAACAGTCATTTGACTTTTATTAATTGAAGATCAATTGTGAGCAAGACACTAATAAACACATAAATAAATGTGCTTGGACATTTTACATACGTGTGCTAAAATTAATGTAATAATTGTAATAATAACTAGAGATCTTTTATTCAAGCATAGTACTATGCTTTTTCTCTATATTTCATTGTAATCGCTATATCAATTGTTCTGTTGAGAATTTGAACTATCACTGCTCCCTTAATAACATGGGCCAGCCCTGGGAGGAAGTAATAAGGGAAATTCTTCATAGTAGCAAAGAATAGATAGATGTCATTTACTTAGATTTTTGCCCCAGGTACAAATGTTTTCCTGGTTCTTTTTTTCCATTGTTTTAGATAGATAATCTGTCCCTTTTCTTGTAAATCCAGATAGACCTTGATTTTGAAAAGATTCGTAGTTGCTTTAGTTTACTTCTTATTTAAAAAAGAATAAAGGAAGTGGTAGCTGGTATTTACCTTCATTCAAGCATCCTCTTTCAAAAGTTAACTTCTCAGCATGAAAAGTTCCTCAATATTCTTGAAAAAAGTATTTAATCAAATTAATGTTACCAGAACTTTCTGGGCTTGAGCATTGACACATATTTAATACTATTTTTTTGAAGGAGGTTAGCAAAGGTATAGAAATGCCATAGGCGCTTTGCAAGTTTCTAACAGAATTCAGTCTGTTCAAACTGGGTAAAGCTTGGTATGTCATGTGAAATTTCACTTGGATAAGCTGAGTGAAGATGGTGCCAAAAAGGTAGTCAAAGATGAAGCAAATTAATGTTTGTTTTTCATATGTGTTTTTTCTGGCATCTTGTATCCTTAGGATGGTTGTTTATGGCATTCATAAATTAACATGTTTTATAGCCTACTAAGTTATGGGCATGTTTTAGATACATTTGTGTCTTCTCTCCCTACCCCATTTTTTGGTTTGTTTTACTTTATCAGGATGTCTAGGAATTTATTAATTTTATTTTTCCACAAAACTAGTTTTGTTTTATTGACTTTTATTATCTGTTAATTTTCTATTTCATTAGTTTCTACACTTAACTTGATTATTTTGTTTCTATTTTTTACACTAGGTTTAGTTCACACTTCTTTTTTTAGTATCAAATTGTGGAAACTTGATTACTAATTCGAGAGCACTTTTTTCCTAATATAAGCTTTGAATGCTATAAATTTCCTTCTAAGCTCTGTTTTGGCAACTTCCTACAAAATTTGATACCTCATGTTTCCGTGTTCATTCAGTTTAAAATATTTAACTTGTATTTTCTCTTTTAATCTATGAGTTATTTAGAATATGATGCTTATTGTCAAATATTTTTCATATTTTCTAGATATCTTTCTGATATTGATTTATAGTTTAATATCATTGTGGTCAGAAAAAATATTTTGTATGAGTGCAATTCTTTTAAATTTATTGAGTCTTGTTGAATGTGGTGTATCTTGGTGATTTTTCAATGTGCACTAAAAAGAATATGTATTTTGCTGGGGTTGGTCCTAGAGTTTTCTATATTAGGTTAAGTTGGCTAGTAATGTGGTTCAAGTCTTCTTTATCCTTCTTTGTCCTATCAGTTACTGAGAGAAGAATTGTGAAATCTCAAATTGTGACTGTGAGTTTGTCTATTTCTTCATTTAGACAAAGTTACCCAATGTGATATCAAAGGATAAAGTAAAAAGATGCTAAAATCAGGGAGTACTTACTTCCATAAATTAGAGGAGTGGTGGAGAATTGTATCTGCAATGGGAAAAGGTGCAGAGTAAGTGTTATCAGTGTGTGTAATCCCTAGAGACTTAATATCTGCCAACTTTAGGTGATGAAAAATATTTTAAGAAAAATATAGGCAATGATTTTCAGAAGGATTTCCAAAGAGCAGCTGATATTTATTAGATAATTTAAAAATATAGGTGTGTTTGACCAGGAATTTATCTGTTATTGTAGCCTATCAACATTATTATAAATGTAGAAAGGCCTTATAACAATTAATTCACATTATCTTGATTTTTGATAGGGAATATTTTTGCAAAACCTAATAGCCAGTAATAAGGAAATGCTATGTAAACTATGGTACACTGACTCAGTGGAATTTCAAACCATTAAGAATGAAGTTCATTGAGACTATGATAACAAAAGCATACTTAATATACAATGGAAGGTGGGGAAATTCTCCTGAAAACAGATACTTCTGGCTGTTTTATATTTTAATAATTATTCAAAGTAAGGATGATGAATCAAACTGTTAAAAATGAGTATTCCAAGATATGAACCACTTCTAAAAAGGAATCAAGTATACTCATTTTCTAATTATAAAACTGATTACACACACAATGAGAAAATGTGAAATGAAATATTATTTGATTGGGTTACTGGCACATCTTTAGCTAAGGAGTCAGAGTTATAAAGACACACTAAACCTGGTACATTTGACATTATAAAGATGAAAAATAAGCTGATGCATAGTAGCCAGAGGGAAAAAATGGAAGCAGAGAACCCAATCAGGAGTTCATCTAGCCTGAATGAGTATTGAGTGGAGAACAAAGTGCTGGCAAAGGTAAACCACGTTGTTTACTTCGGCTGTCAATCAGGAGACACAGGAACAACGTAAGCCATAGTCTACAAGCAAGAAATGATTGTTCTCTGCCTTCTTCTGCTCCAAAGTAAAGGTTCACATTGTCCTACTGGTTTGCAAAAGACACAAGTTTCGAAGTCTGACTGACTTTTATTTGTATTCCAACTCTGCCACTCAAAAACTATATGATCTTAGGCATGTTGAGGAGCTTCTCTGAGCTTATTTCCTCATCTACAAAATAATTCCGAAAATGTTTACTGTAGGATTGTTATCAAGATAAAATGATGCCATTTGTGTCAAAGGTTGTAGCACATACCAAATAGCCAATGAAAGTGACTTTTCTTTCATTTTTGAACTAAAATTCATCATTATAACATTTTTTCAATTTAAATTATGTAATGAACAAAATAATAGTTTTCAAACTAATGATTTTTAGTTAATTTGAGACTATGGATAAGGTAAGCCAATAAAAAAACCAATGTATTATTTAAAACTACTATTAAATAATAATAAACTAATAAAAAGCCATGACAGTGAGTCTGACTGGAAATAATGTTTTGTGTTTTGGTCACGATTTGATAACACAAACAAAATCAGCTCAGAGATAGGTGGCTATGTTCTTCTAATCTCCACTGTGGAAACAATTTGATTTTAGTTGCATTAATGAGTGGGAATGGAAAGCATAATTTCAGATCCCAACGTTTGGCACACAACATTCTGTTGATCATTTTGTGAGATGTTGTTCTAATTGACAGATTCCCAGACTATCAGAGCCAAAGCAAAGATATGCAGTCACAATTTTAGGTGGAAAAATTATCTGTTATCTCTGAGGACATGTGCTATTCGTGCACATGAAAGGAGGTTGGTCGAAATCCTAATTTGAATTGAAAGGACAATTATGTCTATATCTGCCAGAATCCTCCTTTAAAAATGAAAATTAAACATCTGTTCAGATTTTTTAGTAGCAATTTCATAAAACTGCTTTTAAATGGATACTGATTACAAAGAAACTAACCAATTACTTAGTTTCTTTGAAAAAATAAGGGATAAAATTAAATTGCTGTATATAAAATATGTAAAGGTATATATGAATATTTATTTGTATATATGTGTGTGTACATAAAAGTATTTATTCTTCATGTTATTGAAATGCAAACATATTCCTTACATAAGAATGAAAGAAAGGACTTTATCTTACAATAGCAGTAAAATATATAGGATGAAAGTAATTTGTTGTATGTAAAATATTCAAGCAAAGGTGTATTATGAATATATATTTGTATATGTGTGTACATAAAAGTATTTGTTCTTCATGTTATTGAAATGTGAACATATTCCTTACATGGGAATAGGAGAAAAGACTTTATCTTGTAAAAATGTATGAAGTAGGATCATGTATCTCCTACTTCTGGAGACTTTGATGATTTAGACAGAAAAATAAGGTTTATTGAGTGATCAAACCACTGATACTGGTCTATATAATTAAAATGAGTTTTGCAGTAGGACTTCCCATTCAAATCATGATTGAGTGACTGTCATTGAACTAACAAAATTTATAAAACATTTGTTTCCTGTCATTAGACAGAAACCAATTCAAAGTTATAATTTATGAAAAACAGTCTGCAAAAAGATGAGCTCTATGTTCATTCTGGTTTTCTTTCTGAGGATATTTTCCAAATTGTAGCATATTGAAATAAAGTCCAAATAGAAAACAAAGATCTTGCTGAATGTAGTCAACAGAAATTGGAGTTCTGAGATAGTAACAAACGTCTTTGGATGCCTTTTATTCTGTAGGTGCACAGGTCAAGACTCCAGGCAGCCTAGATGATGTTGGAAAGCTGAAGTGAGATGTAAGATCCTGCACAATGCTATGAAAATATCAGAGTAAAAATTTAGTTTGAGGGTTATATCTTGGTAAATATCCTAGGGTTTTAGTTGAGATCACAGAAAGATCAAATAAAATATGCCCACCATAAAAATCAAGCTTCAAAACAATCGAGGTAATTCATACCTTTGTATGAAATATCAACAGGCTTACAGCAAACTTTTAAATGGCAATGATGACAGGCAGAAAACAATAGAATAGCATTTTGAAACTGCTAAAAGAAAACCTGCCCACCTGCCATCCAAGAAGTCCATATCCAGTGAAGGTATTTTTCAAATATGAAGGTAAGAAAACAATCTCTTTACACCAAAAACAAAACAAAACACACAGCGCAAAACAACCTTCTGATTCCTCTGATTTAATTCAATACAAGCAATCAGCACTAAAAGAAACACTAAATTTCTTTACGCTGAAGCAAAGTAATCTCAGATGGAAACAAAAAACTGCAGAAAGAAATGAAAGCACAAAAAAAGATAAATATAAAATAATACCTAATATTTAAAACAATAACATGTAGGCTTTATGTAACATGTATAAGAATAATATATATGAAAATACCGTAAGGAGTGGAATATTTAGAGTTAGACTTTAGTAAGCATTTTGAATTCTTTGGGAAATGGTAAAATTAAAGTAAGAACAAAATCTAAAAATATCAATAAAATTGAAAGATGTTCAGTGGCCTCATTCAACTCAAATCGCTTTTGTTTTCCTTTCTGAGTCAATATTTTAAAAATATTTAGATAAGCCTAATTTTGTGGCCATTTCAGAAATCAGTTAGATGAACTATTAGAATAATTTTTCTGCTCCAGCAGAATCTCAAGACCATCTACATTGAGGGTAAAAGAATAGACCAAAACCTCAGTGGTTTTAAAACAATGCAGGAGCTCTGGCAGATCCCAAGATTTAACCTAATGAATTTCAATAATCAATTGAAACACCTAAGTATGAAAAATATGTGATCCATATAAATTATTAAAATTTTTCAGAGTTCTAGTATAACTTATTAATGGGAGAGAATTGCCTATTCTCTTAGATAAGGTATTTAGGTTTGTGGTTTTGTCATTGCAGTTCTCAGAAAAATCATTAATCTAGTAAATATTTTATAACATTCTTGCATTTTATTTGTTATTATATCACAGTGAAAATACTATCATACAAGGTTGTGTAATCAAATGGTACAGCACAGTATCCTCTGAAGATTCAAAATTAGTACATTACTCATACTATAGATTCCATAATCTCTTCATAATTTTATTCTTTTTTAAAATTATACTTTTAAAAAAGTATACATGTGCAGAACGTGAAGGTTTGTTACATAAGTATACACGTGCCATGGTGGTTTGCTGTACCCATCAACCCATCATCTACATTAAGTATTTCTCCTAACACTATCCCTCCCCTAGTCCCCATCCCATGACAGGCTCCAGAGTGTGATGTTCCCCTCCCTGTGTCCATGTGTTCCCGTTGTTCAACTCCCACTTATGAGTGAGAACATGTAGTTTGGTTTTCTGTTCTTGTGTAACGTAACATAATTTTATTCTTAAATGCCTTTTCTTATGTATTATTCTTTTTATGAGAAGTTAAGTTTTACTATAAAGTTCTCAATAGAAAAACAACCTGCTCAACTTCTTTAACTTATTTTTCTTCAGTTTATATAAACAATAGATTAATAAAGTCATTAAATGACTGTGCTCTAAGAACTTAGAAATTCATTTTTCCTCTATAATAGACTAAATAATGACCTTTCAATTATTTAGTTCATGACTGAACTCCAGGAATATGACCTTTATGTAATTGGCTAATTTAGTTCATGCCTAAGAAATATGAATAGAAAAAAATACCAAATTCTCATGCCTATAAAAAACAGGACCAAGATGTATCTATGTTACTTTCCTAACAATATACCACCCTCACTTCACAATCATCTGTTTTTACAATGCTTTAGGAGAGGATGAGTCTCACAATTTTACAAAGATCACCGTTCTTCCTTTAGTCTGTTTAACAAAACTTTTTCAATTATTCATTACTTTAATATAATCACTTTCCTTTCTTTAAAAAGAAAATTATAGCTTATATAATAGAAAATAATAAACATTTTACAGGCATTATGCCACGCTTGCTGTTAACAACCTCATTTTATTTTTATTTATTTACCTTTTTACCTTTCACTTTAGGTTCGGGGTACATGTGCAGGTTTGTTACATAGGAAAACTGTGTATCATGGGGATTTAGTGTACAGATCATTTCATCATCCAGGTAATAAGCATAATACCCAATAGGTAGTTGTTTAAATCTTCTCCCTCATCCCACCCTCTACCCTTACGTAAGCCCTGGTGTCTTCTTTATGTCCATATATTCTTGTTGTTTAGCTCCCATTTTTAAGTGAGAACATGCAGTATTTGGTTTTCTGTTCTTGTGTTAGTTTGCCTAGGATAATGTCCTCCAGCTCCATCCATGTTGCTGCAAAAGGCATGATCTCATTCTTTTTTATGGCTGTGTAGTATTCCATGGTGTATATGTACCACATTTTCTTTCTCCAGTCTACCACTGATTGGCATTTGGGTTTATTTGATCTCTTTGCTATTGTGAATAGTGCTGCAATAAACATGCACATGTACAGATGCATGTGTCTTTATAATAGAATAATTTATATTCCTTTACATATATACTCAATAATGAGACGCTAGATTGAATGGTAATTCTGAATAACCTCATTTTATACATGAGGAAACAGGTTCAGAGAAGTGAAATGACTCTTTCAAGATCACAGAACTAGGGAAAATCAGATCTGGAGATGAGTTTTGTTCTGCCTGTTCTAGAGCCTGAGTTCTCACTATTGTATTATGCTGCCACTCTAATTTTCGAAAGCCAACTACTCAGTAGTAAACTTATGTCAGGTCACTGTGTCTCTTTTTCCCTGGTGCTATGGTCTGAATGTCTGTGTCCCTCCAAAATTTATATATCTAATCTTACTTGTTTTAATATTGAGAGATAGGGTTAGGAGGTTATGAGTCCATGAGGTCAGACTCTCGTGAATGGGATTCATGCCCTCATAAAAGAGGTGCAAGGAAGCTTGCTTGTCATTCCACCATGTGAGGACACACAGAAAGTGCCATCTTGGAAGCAGAGAGTGAGCCCTTATCAGACATCAGATCTCCCAGCGCATTCCTGTTGGACTTTCCAGCCTCTGGAGTGTAAGCAAGACATTTTTATTGTTTATAAATTACTCAGTTTAAGGTATTTTGTTATAGCAGCCCAAACAGACTAAGACATCTGGTATAATTGTCTTGTATATTAGCTGTATTTTAGTCACATTGTGACTTAGTAAATCATTTGCCAGAGGAAAACTGAACATTTATATTACTTAAAAAAATTACCCGCTGGTCATAACTGTTATTATACTCATTCCTGAATAGAAAATCAAGGCAAAAGTACTTAAACCTTCTTAATATATGAAGTTCAGCCACTCATTTCCCAGAGATATTTTAGAATAAAGCCCATGTAGTTCAAAGACAGTGGGTTATGTTTTACAGAACATAAATCCAGGAGAACTACCAGCAAACTGATCATGATCCTTTCATTGTCACAAGATACAAAATAAGTATAAATTGAGTAGTAAGGGACTTTCACCCCAACAGAAACTAAGATTCCTATTCTTAGTTGTTTTAAAGCAATTTTCTTCAAAAAAGTCCCTCAGCTGTTATTCCAATATAATTTGATAAAAAAGGCAAGCTCAGGGCCTTCCCGTTTTCAAAGCAGCTGTGGCAACAGGTGCTCAAGATTCTTCATTAACCTTTGCTAAACTCAAAGCCATTGTTATTCAAAATGTAGCCTGTGTGTACTAACAGCTGGCAACACATGGGAGCTTGTTACAGATGCAAATATCTGTCCCCATCCCACTTATTTGGAAGCAGAATATGCGTTTATTTTTAAAAAACCCAGACTATTGATATGCACCGTAAAGGTTGAGAAGCACAGCGTGCAGTCTTTGATTTCAATTTGCTCTCCACCCAGGGATAAATTTTAATCTATTTAAATTTAAATTTATTAGAGGAGCTATGACCTGATTTTTAAAATTAAATTATTAAAAATTTTCTACTCTGGTTGAAGATATAGAAAGGCTGAAGAGGCATGGTTTCCATTCTAAGAGAATTATTTTAAAACTAGCATTTGCCACTGGAAGAT